>NC_000001.11:243911394-244062909 GCF_000001405.40 Homo sapiens
GGTAAAAGTCTTGCTAATATGACTGTAGTTTGTTGGATTAGTGGAAATAGAGATGTAATATTTTTCCCACCTAAATTCACAAAACATCTGTAATATTTTTCCCACCTAAATTCACAAAACATCTGAATTCTCCCCGTGAGCCTCTTGTGGGTCTCTGGACCCCAGGTTAAGAATCTGGTTTTTATCATTGTTTTCAGTAAACTAACACAGGAACAGAAAACCAAACACTGCATGTCCTCACTCATAAATGGGAGTTGAACAATGAGAACACACGGACACAGGGAGGGGAACATCACACACTGGGGCCTGTAGGGAGGTCGGGGGTAAGGGGAGGGAGAGCATTAGGATAAATACCTAATACATGTGGGGCTTAAAACCTAGATGAAGGGTTGATGGGTGAAGCAAACCACCATGGCACATGTATACCTATGTAACAAACCTGCACGTTCTGCACATGTATCCCAGAACTTAAAGTAAAATTAAAAAAAAAAAAAACTTTAACAATGTTATACTAGTAATAAAAGGATTAGCCATGGCAAAAAAAAACAAAAAAACAAACAAACAAAAAAAAAAAACAAAGAAAGAAAGGTAGTCTTCAATGTGTGACAGTTCCAACCTCATCACAAATAAATAAATAAATACATCAAAATCTGGCTTTTTTAAGAGCAAGGAAAGATACTTCTTCCATTATAACTGGGGTGATAGAAAAGATGGGAACTGGCTGGGCACAATGGCTCAGGCCTGTAATCCTAGCACTTTAGGAGGCCGAAGTGGGAGGATCACTTGAGCCCAGAAGTTCAAGACCAGCCTGTGCAACATAGAGAGACCCCCATCTCTATCCCCCACAAAAATAACCCCAAACAAAAGTTAGCCAGGCATGGAGGCACATGCCTATATTCCTAGCTACTCAGGAGGCTGAAGTGGGAGGATCGCTAGAGGCCAGGAGTTTGAAGCTACAGTGAGCCAAGTTTGTGCCATTGTACTCCAGCCTAAGGGACAGAGCCAGACCCTGTCTCTATGAAGGAAAGAAGGAAGGAAGGAAGGGAAGGAGAAAAGAGAGAAAGAGAAAAAGAAAGAGAGGAAAAGAGAAAAGAAAAGAAAGAAAGAAAAAAAAGAAAGAAAGAAAAAGAAAGAAAGAAAGGGAAAAGAAAAAAAGGAAAGGAAAAGAAAAGCTGGGAACTGATGAATGCCAGTTTATAGATTTGGTGGCTTCTAGTTTCTCTAGGAAGGCAAGGTCATCAGCTGAGGGTAGGGAGGGAGGAAAGGGGTAAAGAGGTGGGAGGTATAAAACGCTCAGCTCTGACGGGGAATGTCAACTTTTAGGGGAGAGTAACAGGCTTTCCAGGCTGTACATGACTGTCATTAAGAATAGGATGGGTTCAGAAGGCAGTCATCTGTGGTTTGAATCCAGGCTCTGTCTTTTTTTACTGTATGACCTTGACAATGTTATTTAATATGACCTTATGTGCCTCCATGTCCTCATCTTGAGAATCAACGTAGTCTTTGTACCTACTACATAGAGTTGTACTCTATTAAAACAGTTAATACAAATCAAGCACTTGAATTGTGCCTGAGATGAGCTAAGTGTGTACTAAATGCCAATCTTTATTTTTAATAGGACATTGATTCAAAAGATACTTATGAGGGAGAACTGGCAAGTCTTGGAGATTAATTTGGTAGAAGAGATGGATAGGAAGGAGTCAAGACGGTTTGTCTGAATAACCTAGAGGATGGTGGTGCCATGCTTGGTCAAGGAGAATAGTGGAAGAGCAGGCTTATGGTAGTGGGTGATGCGCTCACAGTGGATGATGTGGCCAGTGAGCCACTGCACAGACAGACAATGCACTCCAGGACCCCAAATACTGAGGCCTACAGTCCCACAGTGGCTCCCCTCTGTTCATAGTCATGGCTTTGGAGTTTGTTTTAATGGCTTCATTGGAAGCACACTCTATTTTTTTTTTCCTATTCTAGTCCATCCCTGTTCAGGTTAGATATGAAGAAACTAAACATTGATTTTTTTTTTTTTTTTTTTTTGAGACGGGGTTTCGCTGTTGTCGCCCAGGCTGGAGTGCAGTGGTGCAATCTTGGCTCACCACAACCTCTGCCTCCTGGGTTCAAGCGATTCTCCTGCTTCAGCCTCCAGAGTAGCTGGATTACAGGCATGAGCCACCACACCCAGCTAATTTTGTATTTTTAGTAGAGATGGAGTTTCTCCATGTTGGTCAGGCTGGTCTCCAACTCCCGACCTCAGGTGATCTACCTGCCTTGGCCTCCCAAAGTGCTGGGATTACAGGTATGAGCCACCACGCCCGGCCATTGGGATATAGCTTTTTAATCTATGTATGATGTAGTCGTTGGAATTTTATTTCAAGATACAAATATCATTTACACAAGATCAGACAGTTGGTTTTAAAAAAGTTAGCTCTGTAGGAAGATATTATGGGTTGAATTGTGTCCCCTTAAAAGATATGTGGAAGTCTTAATCCCTAGCCCATCAAAATGTGACCTTACTTGGAATAGGGTTGTTGTAGTTGTAATTACTTAAGGTGAGGTCATACTAGAGTAGGATGGACCCTTAATCCAATATGGCTGGTGTCCTTACAAGAAAAGCAGAGAAACACATGAGGAAAAGATAGGCATGTGGTGATGAAGCCAGAGACTGAAATGATGTATCGACCAACCAAGGAATGCCAAGGACTGCCAACCAACACCAGGAGTTAAAAGATGCGAGAAGGATTCTCCCCTATCTGTGTTGGGGAGCATGGCACTGTGAACACCCTTCATCAGATTTCTAGCCTCCAGAATCTTGAGGCAATATATTTCTGTTGTTTTAACCCACCCAGTTTGTGGTACTTTGTTACTATAGTCCTGGGAGACAAATATAGTATATATTTCTGATTTTCACAATATCATTTGTATTCCTTTTATTTTTTAAAGAGACTAATGTCTCAACATGTTGCCTGGGCTGGTCTCAAACTCCTGGGCTTAAGTAATCCTGCAGCACTGGCCATCCAAAATTCTGGGATTACAGGTGTGCACCACCATGCCTGGCTTATTTGATTGTTTCTTTTTTTGTTTGTTTTGTTTTTTGAGACGGAGTCTGGCTCTGTCGCCCAGGATGGAGTGCAGTGGCACGATCTCAGCTCACTGCAACCTCCCGGGTTCACGCCATTCTCCCGCCTCAGCCTCCCGAGTAGCTGGGACTACAGGCGCCTGCCACCACGCCCGGCTAATTTTTTGTATTTTTAGTGGAGATGGGGTTTCACCGTGTTAGCCAGGATGGGCTCGATCTCTTGGCCTCCTGATCCACCCGCCTCGGCCTCCCAAAGTGCTGGGATTAAAAGGTGTGAGCCACCGCGTCTGGCCATTTTGTTGTTTCTTTTAAAAAAATGATCTTTGGCTTGTTTCAGTGACATTTAGAATCTTCCAATAGTGAGGTCATACCTCCAGAAGCAGTGACTTAAATCTGTGTTGAATTTCTTTTCCCTCTTTTAAAGCATCCCAAACTAGCTCTGATCAAGGTGGTATCAGATTGTGTCTTTCCTAAGCAGCTCTGTGGTTGCCATGTATTTGGCATCTGCGATAGAACAAGTAAAGGTAGAGTCCTCTGGTGGAAAAGGACCTTGGTCCCTCAGCCCCCACAGCAGCTTCTGGGAGCTCGGTTTAAACATCACTGCTCTGGGGGGATTTTATCAGCAGGGTCAACACACAGAGACAGTGTACAACATTCAAAACCTCTGCAGCAAGGGATTTATAGAAAAGGTGTTTTTCTTTTTCTTTTTTTTTGAAGTCTTTTTTTTATTATACTTTAAGTTTTAGGGTACATGTGCACAACGTGCAGGCTAGTTACATATGTATACATGTGCCATGTTGGTGTGCTGCACCCATTAGAAAAGGTCTCTTCATTTCAAACCCAGAAGGAAGTCAAGGGTAAAACATAAAAGCATAACCCAGGAAAGGCATTTCTGTGGAGTGCTCGTTGAATGAGGTTTGTGCAGAGCTAATGATCTTACCACTGTGCAGTAAAGACGTGCTAAGCACACCTGCAGGATCAAGTGGTCAGCAAACCGCCTGGACTGTCCTCTGTGAATATCACTTCTCTTGGATAGGCATTGGCCAAGCATGGGATAACAGCACTTTTCAGTTAAATTCCCCAGTGTGAACCTAAGACCCGTGGACTCTCTGTTGTTGACTGAAGGACATGCTTATGCATGGGTACCTGACACCCATGTGGCAAGATTCTCATTCCATGATGAAAGTCACATAGCAGGATGAGTATTCTCGCCTCCTTGGAGGACTTGTCCTGCCTTTGAGTCAGAAGCTGCTCTCATCAATTATTAAGGAGAAAGAGAAATTTGTTTTTTCCTCAAAAATCAATATTTCAATTTTCTTTATTACTCATATAATAGGTATTCATTGGTGATACATTGGAAAATATGGAAACACAGGACAACATAAAACTCATTCACAGCCTTTAAGCACAGCTAACATTTTACACGCTCTTCCAGACATATTTCCTTATACTTTTTTTTTCAAAAAAGGTACTGTGATATGCAAATTTGCTTTCTTTCTGTTACCAATATGTCGCCAACAGTTTTCGTTTGTGTGGATTACTGTAACATTTCTAAACAGTTCCCTATTGATGGGCATGTGGATCTGTTTCCATTCTTTAGGTATTAAGAACAGCACATTGACCCTTCTTCTATCCAAGTTATCTGGCATATTGTAAATTATGATCTTAGGATAAAACTCCATAAATAGAACTATTGGGTCAAAAATACACATATTTTGAGGCATTTGATAAGTATTTCCAAATCATCTCTTAAGTGCACTCCCACCAGCAATATATGACATGGCACATTCTACATCATTAGATCTTACCTCCACTCCCTGTTTCATAGGTGAAATCTGATATCTCTGTGCTGTTTCATTTCTTTAATCTGTAATGAAATTGAAACGTCCCCCTCTCCCTGCTCCAACATATTCAACACAGTTTTCTGACTCATGCTCTAAAATCTTTACAAATCTCCCTGAACTTTCCGGATTTTGTTTCCTGCCTTGTTGTTTTCAGAATTATTACGTTATTCCCAGGTATGCAGCATATTACTTCCGGTATTTTCCAGAATACCAAGGAGATCATTTGTCATCTGTTAATAACCCCCTCTTTCATCCCTGTTTTTCACACCTTGGCTTTTAAACCCCCTTCTCAGAGGTAGGGATTCTTCCTCAGTTCCTTGAGGGGAAAGTGGAGCTGGTGGAGGTGAGAGCGCTCATTGAACCTGCATCCTTACTGAAGCAAGAGAACTTCCACCCGGGCCAGGTTTGCTGGTGGAAAATGCTCTGATAAACGAAACCGTCTCTTCCACGTCTTCTCCATTTGACTGGCGTGTGAACTCGTTGCTCTCGCTAAATGAGGCCGCTGAGATGGAAACATAGATGTGTTTACGGCAGGGTGGCAGTGCAGGTAACAGGGAAGTCCTTGCTAGGGACATCAGCAACTTGCAGCTTAGTGGTGGAGAAAGCGCGCTCTGGAGGCCTGGTTCCACATCCAGTGCCCCCTGGGCTCGTGTGTGCCTCAGTTTCCTCATCTGCAAAATGTACCTACTTCACAGAGTCTTTACAATTCAGCCACTCCCTGCAAGGCTGTTATAGCCTGGTGCATTGAAAAGTGCGAAGAGAATGGAAAAGGAGAGAAGGGCGGGGAAGGGAGGGCTTAAAAAGTGGGGGAGAGCCTGGGTAGAACAGAGAAGCGAGCAAGAACAGGTGGGAAGAAAAACAGCAGCCTGATCCGTCTTGCTTTTCCCTTTTCTCCATGCAGCCAGCACTTTTCCTTCTCACTCTCCCCGCACGCCCACGCCCACCCGCTTCTGCACCGAGAACCTCGAGGCGCGCACGCACGTGGAGGTGACGCCAAGCCCAGCGGCGAGGTCGGGGCTGGGGGTGGGGGGAGCCGGCGTCCCGCGGGCCCCCGAGGCCGGGGAGCTCCGCCAGCGCATTGTGCGAGCGAGCTGAATGCAGCCGAGGGGCGAGCGCGCGGGCTCGCACGGATTAGCCGTGCTTTCCCATGAGCCACAAAAGAATGCCCGAATCTGGGACATCTGTCATCAAGGGGCAGGCTGCTCAGGATGCAAGGTAACCAGAGCTTTCCTCGGACTGCTTCAGTCTTTGGGGACGTGGGGTCACCCTAATCCTTCCTGTTTATATTGTGAACGCGTAGGCAGCGAGACTTAAGCTCTGCGTCGGTCAATAAGCATCACGACGCAGGCATTCCTGAGCGGCTACGTCCTCCGGTTGCTTTCTCGGTTTTTTGGAAGAGGCAGCGTTGCCTCCCATTTATTCAGTCCCCTCACAGCAGCGCGGCTGTAGCGCGCCGCAGAAGAGCGCCCCAACGCTGCCGGCCCCTGTTTTGTTTCTTCTTTCTGCATTCATCCACTTTGTCCTCCCATTATGGCGACGAGTTCAGAAGATTGTTAATATGCAATTGTCCAGACACGTCTAATCGAAGAGTTAATTCTCAGAAAATGACAAGTTTATTATGGTGTTTGTGGAAGCCAGGAGATAAATTAATTGGTAGAACCCTATTAAAATGTACTCAGAATTCTCCCCCAAATCACACATGTTTCTCTTTCATTCAAATTCGATGCTTTTCAGAACCTGGACTCTCAAGGCTGCAATTTGTGCAATTAAACGTCTGTTGTTAAAGTTTAATACTGTTTTAACTCCACTCCTAGTCAAAGGAAAGCGAAAGCATCCTGGAGTGGAGCCTGAAGTCAGAGCTCACAGAAGAAGGGCTATCCCCGTGGGGCCGCAGGGAGGTGATCTGCTCCTGGAGACAGAGCCCACCCGAAAGGAGCAACATTAGAGGGTTCCAACAGACACACCTGAGTTCCAAAGGACCAGCCCCCAACTAAACCTGTTTATCTTCAAGAAATAGTGAACGTGTTTTTCCTAAGTTGTTTATTTACTGATTCAGTCCACAACCATGTGTGAAGGGTTCAAAGATTCTGAGCCTTGTGCTTGGAATTGGAAGAGGAAGCGGATGGATCTGCTTTTGAGGGGTTCATGAGGGAGAGGATGAGGAAAGGCAGGGAAGTACATGGTTGGGTGTGCTGAGTGCCAAAGTCAGGTTACAAGTATATGATGTTTAGGAGAACAGAGAGGAGGCTGAGAGGATTGGGTGAGTTTTCCAGAGAAAGTGGTATTTGGAGAGGGTGTTAGCGCTGGTTCTCAGTTTGCTGGTGCTTTGGAAGGAACTTAGGGAGGGGACAAAAATTCATATTCTCTGCCCCCCCCCCCCTCCTCTACCGAGTTATAATAGAATCTTCGAAGGTAGGGCAGGGAACCTGTATTTAACAAGCGACTTCGCTGACTCTATGGTGGTCAGCTGAGCCTTTGGTCCCATTGAAAGCATGAGCGACAGTGGTGTGAGAGGAATGGTTTAGGGCTAATGGAACAGCATGTGCAAATACAGCAGGGGTGAGACCTTATTTGGCCAATGGTGAGTTGTTAAACCATTCGTCTCCAGAGCCTATGGTTGGTATTCCTGCAACAACTGTGTAGAAAGCCTTTACTTCTAGAATTTATTTGTTCCCTTAGGTTGACAATTTTATTACCCTAGTAGGAATCAATGGAGAAAAAACACACGTTACAGTACAGTTAAGTCTGAACGTGGTCGATAGCTCTTGGAAACTGCAACTTTAAGTGAAACGAAGTATAACAAAAATATTTACCATAGGCTAAATGATATAAACAAGCAAGTTCTTATGGCATATTTGTGGTCACAAAAACATTACCAAAATTCTAAATAAAGACTCAACGCCCTTCTAATATTAAATATTGAAATAAATGTGAGCTATAGACACACTTAAGAAAGATTAATAAAAACAAGTAAGAATTATTTACCTGATTATTCCAGTTCAGGATTGAGGGTGGCCAGAGTCCCTCTTGGTTGTTCAGGGCAGCAGCTGGGAACCCTCCCTGGACCCTGGATGGGATGCCATCCCATTGCAGGGTGCACTCACACACACAGCCACACTCACACTGGGATATTGTAGATACACCAATTTATCTAACATGCACGCAATCTTTGGGATGTGGGAGAAAACCGAGTACCTGGAGAAGACTCATATAGACATGGGAAGAATATGCAAACTCACACAGACGGCGGCCCTGGTGGGGAAGTGATTCTTTTTTCTCATCAGTGTTTTTTTGAGGCAGAGTCTTACTCTGTCGCCCAGGCTGGAGTGCAGTGGTGTGATCTCGGCTCACTGCAACCTCCACCTCAGGGGCTCAAGTGATTCTCATGCCTCGGCCTCCCCAGTAGCTGGATTACAGGTGGTGTCACCACACCTAGCTAATTTTTGTATTTTTAGTAGAGACGGGGTTTTGCCATGTTGGCCAGGCTGGTCTCAAACTCCCAGCCTCAAGCAATCCCCCGCACCTCGGCCTCCCAAAGTGCTGGGATTACAGGCATGAGCCACCGCACCCAGCCTTTCTCAACAATGTGATTTTGAAAAGATGTTGAATAAAATGACGGTATTTGAGGACCTGCCAGCTTGATTTAGGGCCCCTCTCCAGCAAGACAAGCACACACAAACACACTGCTGAAATGTATCCAGTTACCATAATGAGAGAGACCTGTTTTTCTGAGAGTTGCCAGATATCTCATACAAAGTCTTACATAAAAGGTAAATTCCTATTTTTAAAAACTAGATTAATGGCTGAATATTTATTTTATAAGTAAATAATTATTTTGCAACTGCATCATAAGATATGTAGTCATAAAGTCTTTCCATGTAATCAGCTGTGACAGAAAAAAAAAAGACTTTGAGATGCTTGTGGGGGAAAAGTTGTTGTATAGAACTGAACTGTAAAGCAACTGACCCTTTCTATTTTAAGCCTTGTCACTAGCCAGTGATATGAAGTGTTGAAGTATGAGAATGGAGAGATTTTTTAAATTTTCTCAACTAAGGAGGTATTCAAACTTGATTTTCTGTTTCATAATTAAAGCTTCAAGTCTTCTGACAAACACTACGGCAATACATGTCACCTCTGGTTATTTTTTCTTCCTTATTCTTAATTCATTGCTGAATGTTTTAAATAAGTCATTCCTTCTGTCTGCATTAACATTTAACTCCACACCTGCATGCAAAGATTTCCTTAAATGTAACCTTCCAGTGGAACTTTTTCTAATTGAATGAAGGGAACTTCCTCTTCTGCTGTTACATTAAATAGCCCCTCCTCAGTAAAACCTTTTCTGATTCCTAGACCTTTCTTGGATCCTGGTCCTCATTAGCACTTACAAGTCTTCTGAATTGCCCATAAATATAGTGTTTGTTGTTTAATATATCTTTTTCACCCCCTTAAGCTCCTGAGGATGCAGACCATATGTATCAAGTTCAACAATGTGTCCCCAAATCTAGCACATATAATTGTTCAATAATATTTGCCAAATTAGTGAATAACTACAGATTTTCATCAATTGGAAATACCATCTTTCCTTAGACCAGTAACTCCTTCCGAGAGGCCAGGAGACATGCTTTACTACCAAGGGATGTAGGGGGGACTTACCAGACATTTGCTGTCTGTGATTAGTAATCAGGGATATACCTACGCTTTTAAAGTCTTTTATTATACCAGTCTGTTGCTTTTGTAAGGCTCTGAATGGCTATGTCAATTATCGTCTATTGAGCATCTATTAAACAGCCCTCTGTTAAGCAAAAATGCAACATTAGATTTGGCCCCTGCCCTCAGAGATGTTATTTTTGGTAATTGTTTTTCTACTCATTCTCCCGAGTACTCAGGGAAGAAGCCCCACCTCCCTCCTGGGGTGAATTTTGATTAGTCCAAGCCATTCCAGCTGGCCTCATTCCCCTTGCTAGTAATTGGTTAAGCAGGGGCATGTGATACATTTCCCAATTCTGGTCAACCAGATATGAAAGGAAAATTGCTGACTGGTGGTCTTCTGTGAAAAGATTTTTTTTTTTTTTCAAAAGAACACATTAGAGACACTTCTCCTTTTCCTCCCCCTGTGTGTTATTGTATAAGGATAAAGTCCTTGGAGCTATTGCAGACATGCTGGGACCATGCAGCAACCATCCTGAAGAAAAAGTCACTGCACTGAGAAAGCAGGGAAGACTCCAGGCCCCTAATTGCATAGATATGGGTCCAGTCACTGATTAACCCGAAAACTGTTCCACCTATAGTCTTGTTGTGTGAGATAGTACCTGCTCTATGGTTTCAGGTACATTTAGCTGTGTTTTCTGTTCTCGGAACTGAAAGCACCCTAACAGATACATGTAATCCAGGGAAGCACTGTGACATGTACATTAGTCTTGTGATGGGAGCAGAAAGAGTCTCTTAATTTTTTTCTATAAGACCCCGAGTAAAAGTAGAGAGAGGTTTTATTTGTTGCAATTCCACGGTTCCATTTGAGGTCACACCTACGTGCACAGAAGGCTGTCATTTATTGAATACCTATTCTGTGTGAAGTGCTTTATCTTATTAATCCCCGTAAAAACTGTAGACCTACTTTACAGATGAAAACTGTGAAGCACCAAGATTTCAAGGACAAAGCCCTGCTAGGAAGTGGTAGAGCTAGGATATGAAACCAGATCAAAGTTCTCTCTAATAGCTGGCATTGCTTCTCAGTCATCAGGTTGTTGATATCTTTTGCGTAGCGTATCCATTAAACAATTTATGACAAATAACAAAGCACCAACGTTGAAATGTGTGAGGACAGATTCAAGGCTATGCCTACATAAAGTCACTTTCATGAGCTTGCATTCCAGTGTGTTTGCCTTCTGTTGTGGGAGGGAAGAGAGTGGAGCTCTCTCCAGCCCTCAGAAAATTGTGCCCACCCTACAACCCAATTGATCTGTGCTGCAGCCCTGAATGGGGGAATGAGTAGAAGAAGGGGCAAGGCAGGTGAAGGTTTTGCGCCTGAAAGTCCTGGGAGAAAGTATTAGGAACTTCAGCCATAGGACTGGGATACAGGGCTTTTCTTTGTCACTGTAAGGTAATCCTGATTCCTCACTCCATAACTATGAGGGGTTCTGGTATAATTGTGATTTTAAAAGCAAAGCTGTTACATGTGTTAAAAGTCATAGAACCACGTACCAAAAAAAAAAAAAAAGAGTCAATTTTACGTAACGTAAAGAAAAAAGCCCAGCTGGGTCATTGCAAAGGTGTGCCTCTCTGGAAATGTGGTTTCCTTTCCTTGACACCACCAGTGATAAGTATCCAAGGACATGGAGGTCCTGGTCACAAATTAGCGCTCAGAAGACAGATTGAGGGGCCGGCAGCAAAAAGATGCTTGGAGTCTGGGGCGTTGTCAAATGGCAGAGAATTAAAGAGGAGTAACTAGTTTATTAAACAGGTCAGAACTTCTCAAGAGGCAGGTAGAAGCAGACTTCATTTTCACCCCAGTGATCCCACTGAACTTACTCTATGACCTCACTCTAACTTGCTCTTTGGAAGAAGTCTTGGTCAGATCACATAACCTTGGTGGTTATTATTTGTTTCTTTGTTTCCAATTTTTAAAAAAATTGTGGTAAAATATGTGTAACATAAAGTTTACCATTTTAACCATTTTTAAGTAGATTCACATCATTGTACAGCCGTCCCCACCACCTGTCTTCAGAACTCTTTCCATCTTCCCAAACTGAAACTCTGCACCCACGACCCACTAGCTGTCCATTCTCCCCTCCCCCAACCCTCGGCAACCACCATTCTACATTGTTTCTATGAATTTGACCATGTACTTCATATAAATGGAACCATACAATGTTTGTCCTTTTGTCACTGGCTTATACTACTTAGCATAACGTCCTCAAGACTCATCCATGTTGTAGTGTGTGTTGGAATTTCCTTCTTTTTTAAGGCCAAATCATATTTCACTGTAGGTTTGTATCACATTTTGTCTGTCCTTTGATCTGTCGTTGGATACATGGGTTGCTTCCACCTTTCGGCTATTGTGAACCCTGCTGATGTGAACATGGGTGTGCAAATGTCTTTATTCAAGTTCCCTGCTTTCCATTCTTTTGGGTGTATACCCAGAAGTGGAATTGCTGAATCATATAGTAATGCTATTTTTAACTTTTTGAGAAACCGCTATACTGTTTTCCACCGAAGCTGTGCCATTTTACATTCCTGGATCGTTATTCTCAGAGAACCAAAATCCCAGTCCAGTCTGACAATCATATGTCTCTGGTTCAGCCTGGTGCAATTTCAAAATGTGATATTTTTATCATACAACAGCTTCTCTCCTCCGCAGCTTGGGCCTTCTTTCTACTTAGAAACCCGCCAGGGAGGAACACGGCCGGCTCATTTTCCCTCCTTGCTTTCCCTCATCTCACGCTCACTGGCTGGCTGCTTTGGCTCCCCAGGGTCAGGCACTGGGTGGGGTGCAGGGAGTTAGGGACACCATTGACGTCTGGCAGTGGTCCCTTCTGGGTGGGACCGATGTCCAAAATGACTGTCTCTCCTTGAGTCCCTTTGCGAGTTTCTCAGAAATCCTTTCTCCAGCTATTGGGGAGACTGAGGCAAGACTGCTTGAGCCTGGGAGGTCAAAGCTGCAGTGAGCTATGATTGCACCACTGCACTCCAGACTGGGCAACAGAGCAAGACCCCATGTCTTTAAAAAATTCCTTCTTGGAATCTGTTTCTGGCAATGCTTTTCCTCTGGCTATGTGTTTGTGGGTCATGCTCAGCCCCTGGGATCCTAGCAATCTGTCCCTGTGCAGGGGGATGTCTGTTCCTCCAGAGGGTCCTTGTAGGTAGAGTCTTTTTTTTTTTTTAATGGCACCCCAAGGCCAGCCCTTTTGTGCTGTGGGTAGAAGTGTAGCTTCCTCCCTATGAAGTCTTTCCTCTGGTTGCTCTGCCAATGCTAGTCAGACTCCTGTGTTTAGATGTGTACCCTGGAAGAGCCGGTTACCAGCTCCTCTTTCTCCTAAATTCCAGAGGACCCGTGTCAAGCTGCTGGTATGGATTTCTTGAAGTCTGCTCTTACTCAGGCTTAGTGTGGGGCAACCACACCCTTCCTCTCCTGTGAGCTGCAGTGATTACTGGTGACTTTCTAATACACAGTCCTTCTTGCCCTTCTTCTCCTCCCCTAGAAGCCTCCAGGTTGGTGACGGTGGTGGGCTCATGCTAGCAGAATCAGATTCACAGTCCCCTGTTTTTCTTACAAAGGTGAACTAGTGTCTTCCTCCAGGGCAGCGTTTCTCAAACACAGCCCTACTGACATTTGGGGCCAGAAAATTCCATGCTGTGAGGCCTGCCCCGTGCATTTCAGGATGTTTAGCAACATCCCTGGCCTCTGCTCACTAATTTCCAGTAGTATCACCTCCGGTTGTGACAACCAAGAATGTCTCCAGACATTGTGAAATACCTCTTGGAGGGCAAAATTGCTCCCGGTTGAGGAGCACTGCTGTGGTGTCTTGAGCTGCTTTTGGCCTTTGGCATTCCACAGAGCCCCCTTTTGTTATTCTGTGGTAGATGGCTTCTGATATACGGGAGCTACAGCCAGGCTGCAGGCAGACCCTGAGGAGACTTGCAGGAAGCTAAATTGAAGTCGTTTCTGTTTACTGCCATCTTCTTGTCTCTTTAGAAAATTCTTGTTTATGTGTTGCAACCTCGCCTTAGCTGTAACCCAGGAGGTCAAAAAGCAGGTGACATGGGCACACGGGGAGGGAATGCAGCCCCTCTGCCAACCTGCCCCGGCAAGGCCAGCCTTGGCTGTGGGGCGGTTGATAATTAGTGAGCCTTCGCAGAGAACAATAACCTGGGCTTCCAAATCCTGCTGCCTCTTCCTACAGGGAGAACCTCCCTTCTTTGTTAACCTAGGCAGATTTGGATTTCTTTCCTTTTTTTTTTTTCTTTTTTAAGGAAATCAGCAGTTTCCTTATTATGTTCTATTGGGATTGGACAAACCCTAAGAGCCAGGGTGTGGGAGCTGAGCTGTTTGAGCCTGTCCTGCTTCAGGTCAGGTTTGTTTTTGGTACAGAGCTGGGCCCTGCACTGGGGAAGGGGAGGAAAGTAGCTGTTATTGACTGGACAGTCTGATAGGAACCCTTCTTTCAAAGAAGATTGTATGTGTGTATGTGTGTGTGTGTGTGTGTGTGTGTTTCCCAACTAAGTGTATCGGTTGCTCATGGGCAATAAATGAGTAAGGGACCCTCTTGGGCTTCCCAGCCTAGTCGCAAGCCCCCATAGTGAGTGCTCAGCTCTGGCCTCTGGCCCCAGTCTCTGTTGCCCTCGAGAGCGCTTGGCCAGGGAACTTGTCTTGCTCTTGGCAGCTCTGATCCCAGAGGCCAAAGTCACAGCTTTAACAATATAATCCTGAATATAGGAGCCATAAGCAGACTTACCTACATTTCTGTACTTTTAGTGAAATAGAAGTATAGGATGAGTAGATGTACAAGTAAAAGATTATCAAACATGAGAGGTGATAGGAGAGAAGGCTCAGAAACAAACAAAAGAGTAAGAGACAGATGCTGCCAGAAGCAAAATTACATACATAGACCAACAGAAGAATGAAAAATAATAGGAAAATATATGGAAACATAAAGGAAACAGATTTGAAATATAATATCCCACCTGGTGTGCAGCTACTTTACATGAGCCATTCTTGAGAAGTTTCAAGGAAGCGCCATGGGATGGAAGCGTTTTGGAGAATGAGGAGGAGGTGACCTGGCCTACTGAGATAGACGTCGGGATAGGGTTCTGTGCCTATGCAATAGCCATTTGCCCATAATTTCCCCCGCCACCCCCCACCTCCAGCAGGTATTGGGCAAAGATTTTATTCCAGGAGTGAATCATGATGGGCCTGAACTTATTTTCGTTGTGTTAAGTGATTGATCTGGGTATGGCCATGAGACCCAGTGCAGCCAATAAGATGCAAAGAGAAGTCTACAGAGGGCTTCCCTTCCTGAATCCAAAGGGAGCCCAGCAAGGGCAAAATGTTTTTGCCTCTGCCCAGTTCTCGCTTGCTGGGGATGCCCGTGAGAGAATACGATACCGGAAGCTTTGTTAGCTAACTTTGGACTCTGAGCTGACAAATATTAGAATGAAAAACCAATCCACAGAGCATGGTGGAACAGAGGCACAGGAACAGTCTGGCCGGTGAGGGGACCCTTGAGCTGCTGAACTACCCTGCACCCACCCACCCCTCCAGACTCTCGTGAGGGCAACAGTGAATAATCCTTACCGTTAAGCCATGGCTAATTGTTTTTTTCTCCTGATCTAACACATGCTAAGCGGATGCACCAAGCAACCCCTATATTATATGTTTCCTATTTCTTTAAATGGTCTATTAAGCCAAGTTCTTAGGAAATGACTTACATTTTTCTTTAAAAAAAAAAAAAAACTTAAAAAAATCCTGAGAGCTAAGTAAAAGGTTATGGAAAAATAGAATTCTTTACAAAAATAACACACTGCATACATATTTGCTTGATATTGTGAGAACCGCTCAGGCTTAGAGAAACATTTTTTAATGTCTGGTGTTGTTGATCTTGGACATGGTTATCTTGCTCTCTGTCAAATGCTGGATTCCCACCGAGAAGCAGCCACTTACTTTTCCCTCGCTTTTTGTTCTGATGATGCTAGCGATCCCTTGTATGACAGACACAGAAAAGAATGCAGGACACAAATGGGGGAATGCATTCAACTCACATAAGAATTTAATGAGTCAATCCAGATTACAAACCCCTCACTGGCAAGGTTATATCTTTGTAGTGATTTGTTCTCACCTCCTTCTATTGTTGTTTACTTTCTCTATGCCAACAACAGTAGTCAGAGATTAGAGTGACTCTCGCCATTCATCAATAGAGGTTCAGTGGCCTGAGGTTTCGAGCTGTGGCTTTTGTTCCAGCTAGATATTTTCATGTAGTTTAAATTAATAAAACATGAAGGAATTTCCAGTATAATGCATGTGCACTGCTTTGCTCTTTGACTGCATATTAAGTGTATGCATATGTCGTCCTTCTAAGGAAATAGAATCACACAGCTCTAAGCTTTAACTTGCTGTCCAGGTTCCCATTTGATTCTCCCTCTATTTCTTTTTTTAGGAGAAAATATGTAATAAAAACAGGGACAAGAACTTTGGTTTTTCTTGTTGCTAATAACAGAGAATTACCAGAGCAGCTCTTTCTCTCGTCCTTCATCATGGGAAAGAATGATGCTAGCAATGCCTGGGACTGAAGGTCACGCTGCCTGGCTTTGTGGGGACAGATGGCCATTGCTCATCATGTTAGCAAGGAGCTTGATGCTCACTTCTGGACATCAGCTGCTCACTATGTATATTAAGTGATAATTTAGCTTCAGGTGGCACTGACCCTGGTGCTGTCTCATCTCCTGCCACCTTAATGGGAAATATTCAGACAGCAGTACCTTACTTGCCAGTCTTCCATTATGAAACACAAGCAGACTCTTTCATATACCAAATAATGATAATAATACGTACTATTGCGTCTTATCATTTGGATTTTGCTTCGCCACCTAGACATTCTTAATTCAGAAGTCCAAGGGACAATTTTGTAAGTTATATGAAAAACAAACCACCTTGTGAAAACAAAGCAACAGGAGCCACGGGGCTGAGGTGGGTGGGAAGGAGCAGAGCATGGCAGGGGTTGAGGCAAGGCCGCTTTCATCAAGAGCTGGACCATCACTAGGATTCAGAAGAATATGAACTTCTTTGGTTTTGGGGCTTTACTGAGAAGTTCTCTGCTTCTAAAGTAGCTTACAGTTCTCTGAAGCAGCTGCATCATTAATTCTCATTGAATTCCTATAAAGTCAATGCCTTCATGGGTAAGTGGAAGAGCCAGGCTCCCAGCGCCAGCCAGCTCTTCTTAGATGTTTGTTAACCCCAGGGTCCCACTTAGATGGTCCTAGAAACATTTATTTTATTTTATATATATATATATTTTTACCACATTCCGTGATGGTCTGGGTACAGTATCTACTATATATATTATATAGTACCGGACAAAATATTGAATCAGGCTATGGAAAATATGGATAGGATTGGAGGACCACAATCCAAAAATCATAAAATCTTACACTTCTGCTAAAATGGACTGACAAATTTGGATCTCAGTTTCTTGGTTACCAGAGGAAAATGGGAAATATGGTAAATTGTAAAATTAAGGAACATATTCTCAACTTCAGAATTCAAATTTTCATACAGAAAAAAGCATGCCGCTTTTTAAAAAGATGCAAATTTTTCCTGACTCTCAGGTCTTCATAAGAGTTCTGGCTTGTGACCAGGTGCGGTGGCTCACACTTGTAATCCCAGCACTTTGGGAGGCCAAGGTGGGCGGATCACCTGAGGTCAGGAGTTTGAGACCAGCCTGACCAACATGGTGAAACCCTGTCTCTACTAAAAATACAAAATTAGCCAGGCATGGTGGCACACACCTGTAATCCCAGCTACTCGGGAGGTTGAGGCAGGAGAATCACTTAAACCTGGTAGGCAGAGGTTGCAGTGAGACGAGATCGTGCCATTGCACTCTAGCCTGGGCAACAAGAGCAAAACTCTGCCTCAAAAAAAAAAAAAAAAAAAAAAGAGTTCTGGCTTGCATCTTTTCTTTTTTGTGATGAATTCTTGCTCTGTCACCCAGGTTGGAGTGCAGTGGCATGATCTTGGCTCACTGCAACTTCCATCTCCTGAGTTCCAGTGATTCTCCTGCCTCAGCCGCCCGAATAGCTGGGATTACAGGGGTGCACCACCATGGCTGGCTAAGTTTTGTACTTTTAGTAGAGACGGGGTTTCACCATGTTGGCCAGGCTCGTCTCAAACTCCTGACCTCAGGTGATCTGCCCGCCTCCCAAAGTGCTGGGATTATAGGCATGAGCTACCACACCCAGCCTGGCTTGCCCTTCATAGGCCACAGATACTCATGTAATAGGCAACAGGCAATAACTTTACCAATAAATCCATTAAAAGGTTTCCTGCTGTGTGCATACAGCTATATCCACAAGTCTGAAGTACTCTTGAGCCCATGCCATGGTGTGCCTTGCGGAAGCCATTTCTTCCACTCTGTTGTATGGGCTTAGATCTTCGTATGCCAGTTCTAGAGTTCTAGGGAAGCATTTGCCTTCAACTATGTTGCAGAAGACTCACTCCCTTTCCAGGCCAGATATGTGCAGAATCTTGCATGCTCCCTTTTTCTTTCCAGAAGCATCTCTACGAAGCTTTCCTGACTGATTTTCTCAGATATGCCCTCATACAGGATTTAAAAGGCAGGGGTGGGCCTGAGAAAATCTCACCCTAATCATTGTAGAGCTGTGACCAGAGCAGCAAATAAAGACATAGTCAGTGACTTCCCTAGCTCAGTCCCCAGGCTTAAAAAAGCCAGGCTTGTTTTTTTGTTTTTTTGTTTTTTTCCCCTAGACCATGTTATTAACCATAGACTCATCATGATGCCTGCTAATTTGCTTCTAAGTTATAAGGAAATACCTGTGGGAAGCAACTGAAATTCAGTTGTATATTCAACGTACTGAAGAAGGAATTCTGTTAAAGAAGGAGGCCCCCTTGGAAAAGGGGCTTTTCCAATGTCTATATAACAAATGGTGGAGGTAGAAATTTCTTTGATGGATGATGAGTACACATGGGTGCCCTTCTCAGCAGATATGGTTAAGGCCTTCCCTCCAGGGATGGACTAGGATAATGGGAAATTATTTTATATTTGCTAAATGCTTTCTACTTTGCAAAGTTCATGCAAACACATGATCTCATTTGATTTTCACAACGTACCTGAAAAGTCAACAATTATCACTCTCATTCCTGATGAAGAAACTGGGGCTCAAAGAGATTACGTGGCCTGTGTAAGCTTCTGAGCTAGAATTTTCCTCAAACTGTTAAATTCCCGAGGGCCTGCCAACTAGCCAGGTTTTGCAAAACAGACAAGGAGTGGTACTAAGCAGAGTTCCTCCATTCAATCCCAAATTCGTTTAACACATACCTCTGTGCTTTGGTGTCCTCATCTGCAAAATGGGAATAACATGATGTATCTCACACTCAGAGAATGTGGTGCAATTCGAGCCCTACCTGTGCCTGGCGTCTAGATCTAGATGGTGTTCAAGGAAAGTTTGCTATCATTGTGTCTTCGTTTCTTTCCTTACTGGTTGCCAACCTCCACCTTTGAATCTTGCTTGCTTGCTTGCTTACAGGGCCTCGCTCTGTTGTCCAGGCTGAAGTGCAGTGGTGGGATCTCAGCTCACTGCAACCTCTGCCTCCCATGTTCCAGCGATTCCCCTGCCTCGGCCTCCAGAGTAGCTGGGATTACAGGCACCTGCCACTACGCCTGGCTGATTTTTATACTTTTAGTAGAGACGGGGTTTTGCCATGTTGGCCAGGCTGGTCTCGAACTCCTGACCTCAAGTGAGGCACCCACCTAGGCCTCCCAATGTGTTGGGATTACAGGCGTGAGCCACCATGCACCCTGCTGGAATCTTTCTTTCTGCTTCTCTCTTGAAGGCCTTTCTTATTCTAAGTTTTACCCAGTGGCATCCTGTGGAATATTAGAGACAATAGTCATCCCAGGAGTAGAAAATTCAGTCCCAGCTGCCCTGTTTTCCTCCTAACCCTGCAATTTTGGACCGGATCCTGCCATCCTGAGCAGCCAGTGAGTCTGAAAGAGAGGGCTAATTCTAATCCTTTCCCCTGGGACCTCTTAGTGTGGATTCCTTTTTTGTTGTTGTTGTTGTTGGTTTGTTTGAGCAGAGCCACTTTAACTTTTAAGGGGCCCCCAAAGTGTTTTCTTGAAAGGGCTGGGTTGGGAGGCCCCCTCTCGGGCCCCAGGCTATGGCCGGGCCACTTCCTCCCCTCATCAGAATGCACCACCACCCCCAGACTGGAGAGTGTGGGAAGAGCTGCCTGGGACGCTGTGGGTCGAGGAACTTGCTGGAATCTCTGCCACGGGGCCCAGAGCTACCCCGTGCATGACAGAGAAGGACTTAACGAGTGAAGGAGGCTGGTCTCCTGCGTGTCTTTGGACCTGGAAAGGGAGAGGAATTATAAATGACTCAGGGAGCACAAAGAGGGGATTATGGCCCTGGCCGTGAAAGGGAGCGAGCCGGCTGATAATGCACTGCTGCAGCCTCGGCTCATTCCGCTCATGCCTTTGAAGATTTCCCTGCAGCCAGTGGCGCAGGAACACAACCCCGTGGACACGGAAGGGCACCACCGCGGCCCCTGGCAGGCCTCACCTGTAGCCGCTGCGCCCTCCCCGCGGGCACCGGGCTCTGCATCCAGGAGGCTCCAGGAGGCCCAGGGGCCTGTGATTCCCCGCAGCTCGGTCCATGTTAGCCGCCCCAGGCCCTCCTCGTGATTCCAAATAGAGGGGAGCGCGGTGCCCATTCCTTGTTTCTTTCTGATTGCTTACCGCCCGGGCCAGTTGCACAGCATGCGGCCGAACTGCGGGGTGGTTAAGGAGGGACAGCTTATGAAAAAGGTAGGGGTTGTGCAAAAGAGAAAACTCCAAGCATACGCTGGAGTTTTCTTAAAATGCAGATTCAGATCTGATGGCATAGGGATTTCACTCTGCTGCAGAGCTTTCCATGACTTATCTTAGAACGGAACAAACATTTGATGCTTGGCCTTTTATGTGCATAATCTATCAGTTTACAGGTAAGAGGACTGAGGTGGAGAAAATAGCTACATGACTAGGATTAGAACTCGGGTCTCTGGCTTCCTGTTATGCCTTTTAAAGTAGGTCACGCAGCACTTTGGGAGACCAAGGCAGGAGGATCGCTTGAGCCAGGAATTTGAGACCAACCTGGGCAACACAGCAAGACCCCATCTCTACAAAAAATGTAAAAAGTAGCTGGGCATGGTGATGCACCTGTAGTCCCAGCTACTCCAGAGGCTGAGGAGGAGGATCACTTGAGCCCAGGAGTTCAAGGCTGCAATGAGCTAGGATTTCACTCCAGCCTGTCTCTTAAAACAACAACAGGCTGGGCACATTGGCTCACGGCTGTCATCTCAGCACTTTGGGAGGCTGAGGCGGGCGGATCACCTGAGGTCAGGAGTTCGAGACCAGCCTGGCCAACATGGTAAAACTCCGTCTCTACCAAAAATACAAAAAAAGTTAGCTGGGTGTGGTGGTGGGCAACTGTAATCCCAGCTACTCGGGAGGCTGAAGCAGAATCACTTGAACCTGGGAGGCAGAGGTTGTGGTGAGCTGAGATGGTGCCACTGCACTCCAGCCTAGGCAACAAGAACAAAACTCCATCTCAAAAACAAAAACAAAACAAAACAGAACAAAAAAACAACCTACAACAAAAGTAGGTGAGTTGAAGCCTGGTCACTCTGAGCCACAGGACCTCAGGTCCTTTTGTGCCTCCGTCCATGTAGCCTTTGGAAAATTCAGAATGTTGGAGTGGGTACTGAACCCGGATGGGAGTGGCTAGGTGAGAGAGAAGGTATGCGTGTGTCTGAATGAGGTTCTTAGTTTAACATTTTACGTGTCTGTGAGTGGTATGAAGTTGGTAACCTCTCACTGCTGCTGCATTCTAGTGGGTCCTCTGAATTTCAAACTCCCTTTGGCTAGAGAGAAGGTAGGGCAGGAGATTGTGAGCTATGGGCAGTAGGGGATAGCTGGGACTGAACTGTCTCTGTCTGGGCATGTAACTCCTCCCCCACGCTGTAGACTATGAACGATCCCTTCCCACCTGGCCCTCCGCTCTCAAACATCTCTGCTCCAAGCTCATAGATAGGCAGAAGCACACTGCCACTAAAAACCAGGGTTCTAACTGGGCATGATGGCATTATTTCCCACAATAAAACCAGCCGACCAAACAAATGTCAGCAAGACATCCTTTAGTTCTTGCAGACATGGAAATCTTCTTTTTATTATAGCTAAGAATAAAATGTGATTTTGTAGAAGCTTTTTTTTAATAATTAACTTACTGTTTTTGAAGACTAGTCCAGAAGAGTAAGCAGGAGACTGAGTTTCAAACTTTGGTCCTACCTTTTCCTCTCACTATGAGCTTGGGACAAGGCACTAACCCCCCTAGTGTCGGCCTGTTTATACGGAAAATGAGAAAAATGCATTGATCAACCAAAAATAATTAAAAATTTACAATGTGGCAATTACTAAGCCTGGAGATATAGTTCTCACATGGAACTTATATTCAAATGGGGAAAACAGATATTAGGTAAGAGACACAATGAGAATTACATATTATGGTGAGTACGATGACGAAAGTGACCACGGTGAGCCGCAATCACAGGTGACCCTTCAGAAAGAGCAGCACTTTCCAAAATGTGGTCTGCAGACTCTTGGTAGGGAGTAGTGGTAGAGGTTGAAACCCTTTCAGGGAGCCCACAAAGTCAAGATAATTTTCATAATAATGCTAAGATGTTTTCCTCCCCTTCCCCTCCCCTCCCCTGCCATTCCCTTCCCCTCCCTCCCCCTCCCTTCCTTCCTTTCCCTCTCCCTCCCTCCCTTCCTCTCCCTTCCCCTCCTTCCCTCTCCCTCCCTTCCTCTCCCTTCCCCTCCCTCCCCTCCCCTTCCCTTTCGTTCCCTACCTTCCCCTCCCATCCGTTCCCCTCCCCTCCCTTCCCCTCCCCTTCCCTTCCCCTCCCCTCCCTTCCCCTCCCCTCCCCTTCCCCTCTTATCCTCTTCCTTCATCTCCCCTCCCCTCCCCTCCCCTTCCCCTCCCATCCCCTACCTTTATCTCCCCTCCCCTCCTCTTCCCTCCCCTTCCCTTCCTCTCCCTACCCCTCCCTTCCCCTCCCTTCCCCTCCCTTCCCCTCCCTTCCTCTCCCTTCTCCTTCCTTCCCCTCCCTTCCCCTCCCCTCCCCTTCCCTCCATTCCCCTCCTGTTCCCTTCCCCTGCCTTCCCTTCCCCTTCCTTCCCCTCCCTTCCCCTCTCATCCTCTCCCCTCCCTTTCCTTTCCTTTTTTTTGAGACAGAGTTTTGCTCTGTTGCCCAGGCTGGAGTGCAGTGGCACGATCATGGCTCACTGCAGCCTCGACCTCCTAGGCTCAAGCAGTTCTCTCATCTCAGCCTCCTGAGTAGCTGGGACTGCAAGTGCATGCCACCATGCCCAGCAAATTTATTTATTAATTTTTTGTAGAGACAGAGTCTTACTGTGTTGCTAGTGCTGGTCTCAAATTGCTGGGCTCAAGCAATCCTCCTGCCTCAGCCTCCCAAAATGCTGTGATTACAGGCATAAGCCACCATGCCTGGCCTCCTTTTTTCATTGTATTTACATTTGCACTGATGAAATAAAAGTCATAATGGGTAAAACTGCTTGCACCTCAGCAAGAGTGAAGCAATACCACCAAACTGTACTAGTAGTGATTGTACCTTTTACCACCATACGTTCTTAAAAACAAACAAATAATATGCCACTTTCATTTATGAGTTTTCTTGATGAAATACTGAAGTGTTTAAATTTTATTAAATCTCAACCCTTGAATACACATTTAAAAAACATTCTGGAGGAAAATGGGAAGTATGCATGTAGTATTTCTGCTACATACCAGAATACTATAGTTATCTTGAGGAAAAGCATTTGTGCAGTTGTTTGAGTTGCTAGCTAAACTAGCTGCTTATATCATGGAATACCACTTTTACTTAAAAGATGATTGACAGAAAAATTATTGTTATTCTGACTTGGATAACTGGTAGACATTTTCTCAAAAAAAAAAAAAAAAAAAAAAAAAAAAACTGAAAGTATTTGTTGCCAGTAATGAAGTTTGAACTTACAAGTGAAGATTGGAATTTTAGAAATCTTATATCTTCCACCTTGAACTTGACAGAATCTCAGTGCTTAAATACTTTTCTGATGAGATCAATGTTGATATTAATGAACATGATTTTTTAAACTTTGTGTAATACAATGTGTCAACATTTGAGAGATCTCCATAGCTCAGTCAACTTCTATTTTTCAAATGATCAGTACACAATGTTACAAAATCATAAATGGGAAAAAGATCCATTCTAAGTGCATGTGTGCCAGTGGATTTTAGTGTAATAGAGTAGAAACGTTCATTCATACAATTTCAGATTCCACATTGCCACTAAGCTTTTAGAAACTCCCACATATCAAATGTTGGTATAATATCAAAGAAAAATATACACAACTATCTGAAAAAGCTATTAACATACTCCTCCTTTTTCCAATTATATAACTGCGCAAGATCAAATTTTCTTCATATTACTTCAACCAAAAGAATACATCCCAGCAGACTGAATGATGAGAGAGATACTGATGAGAATTGAGTTGTTTTCTATTAGGCTAGACATTAAAGAAAGTTGCAAAACTGTAAACCAATGCTACTCTTCTCACTAACTGCTCTGGACAAATCTACTCATTTCTCAGAAAAATATGTGATTTATGTTGTCATGTAATAAAGTTGTTATTTTAAGTGGATTAACAAAATTTTTAAAATTTCTGTTTTAATTCTTATTAAGGAAATATTGATGGGATATAACTCATATAAACAAAATCCCTCTGTCTTTTTGATAGAAAAAGAGTCCTGAGAAATAGTCAAAATATTTGAGAACTTTGAAATGAGGTATTCAAGGGAGGCCTTTCTGGGGAGTGTTGAGACCCAGAGGAAGAGCATTGCACAAAAGGAAACGTGAGAACAAATGTCTAAAGATGGGAAAAAGCTTGAGACATTCAAGGGAGAGAAAGGATAGCCACGTAGGTTCACAGAGATTATTGGTTTAAATGAAAAAATGTGCATGAAACTCCTTGGCATTGTACCTCGCACATAGTATATGTGAACTAAGTAGAATCAGATGCTGGGAGGGCTGCATGGTGAGTGGCTGGGGCTTTGCGGTGGGTCCACATACCTTATGTGCTCATGGACATCTCTTCTAGGTCATTGGGTAGCTGCATCTTGCATTCTTTGTTTTTTCCTTCTGGTCCTTGGACTATATGTCGAAAGATCCACCTTTCAATCCTGGTGCTACAGAGTTTAACTCTGGACCAGAGAGTTGACCCCACAGGATCTCAGTTCTCTCTTCTGTAAAATGGTGATAATAATCCATGCTTCCTTCCTAGGATTTCATGATGGTCACATGAGAAGGCATAACAATAATTCAGAAAATGTAGAGACCAAGTACTCAACACTATGCTTGCACTGCCTAAAGGCTCAATAAGTGTTTAAGTAAACTGTGTTTGAACAACACACACTACAGTCATCCCTCAGTATCTGTGGGGGATTGGTTCCAGGACTTCCTGCAAATACCAAAATTTATGCATGTTCAATTCCTTTATGTAAAATAGAGTGGTATTTGCATATAACCTATTCACATCCTCCTGTATACTTTAAATCATCTCTAGTTACTTATAACATCTAATATAATGTAAATGCTATATAAATAGATGTTATACTGTGTTGTTTAGAGAGTAATGACATGACAGAAACGTCTGTACCTGTTCAGTACGCATTTTTTCCCGAATATTTTTGATCTGTAATTGGTTGAATTCATGGATGTGCAACCCACAGATACAAGGGGCTACCTGTACTTTGTTCCGCTGAATGAATGTATTTGAAAATACAATCTCATGAATCAAACGCCACGCCTGACCCTCCACAGCACAATATCTGGGGAAGCGTTCTTCCTTTGGCTCATTGAGTGTCTGCAGGCTTCATGACAGCTTTCTGGAGCCCACAAACATGTAGACATGTAGTCAGGAATAAAGTTACTGCCCTCAAATCTTATGATTTGACTTCTAAGAAATTACATAACAAGATAGCGTTACAATTACTTACTGTGGTTGTATGCTACTTACCAATATATTCTTTTACGTCACTGCAGTGGAAATGTAAGTCAGCCAGGTAAACTCTATTGATTCCTTTCAAAAAACATGTATGGATTGCCTACTATGTACTAGGCATTGCTTTTCTGGCCTCTTTGTAGAAGCTATTTTGGAGGAGTTGAAAATTGCTCTCTGCGTTGAGATTAGGGGGGCATTTTTGTATTTATACCCTTCCTATAATCTCTGGCTTTATTCATAGTCTTTTCAGGGTTATTCCTAAGGACCGCCATGCTTAGGAGTGAGCTTAGAACATCTCAACCTTTGGTGCTGCTTGAGGGAAGAGGCATTTTGCTAAAAGCCAAGATCAGTTAGTGAAAAAGAATTCAGTCTACCAGGCAGGAGACTCATGGGCCTCTCAAGTATATACTCTCTCGTGCCACATGACAGGGAACAGATGTCACAGAAGAGACTGGAGGTGATGGTGCTGTTTTTTACTGTTGTTTGTTTACAACAGTTTCTATTTTAAGGAGTCTTATTTTATATTTTACAAAAATATTTCATCACCTATTTAACTCTAAATTTTACTTAATTTTTCATTGTAATTATTTTACAGGTTGCTTCCCTCTTTCTAGGAATTTTGTTTCAATTTAATTTTTGTTTTGTTAGAGTACTTCCTTGAGTGAGTTTTACAGAAAGAGAATAAAGTGGAATACATTTAGAATCCCTGCAGAACAAAAATATTTTTAGTTTGCCCTCACATATGAAAAATTTGTTGTCAGGTATAGAAATCTTGGATCAGACAATCTTTTTTCCTACAAAGTCTGAAGACATGGCTTATGGGTGTTAGGGTTGAGTAGAGGATAGTGCCAAATGATTTCCTTTGCTTTAAAAGGGGAATGCCCTCTTGTCTGAGAGCTGCAAGATATTTACTCTAGAGGAAAAATTGTCCCAGACCTGGTCTGGGGAAAACTTTTCTCATGATGTATGTCTCCATTTCCTTCTGGGAAGATACTAAAATTTCTGATAAAATGCTTAAGCAATTTTAAAATAGACTTTAATGAGCTTAGAGAGCCTACCTTTGAGAAATTAGCATTCTACCCGCTCAATTGACTGTCAGCCAAGAATTTAATGATCTTGAACCAGGTCTTCTTTTCCAAAAACCTCTCTTTGCCCCTACAAGTGTGTCTACCAAGAGAGAAATCCTCTCAATTGGTCTGTTTCTGGACTCTTCTTTTGAATCAAATTTGAAAGGAAATTTTGACAAGTGCTCATGACTCAATTTCCTGAAAAGTTTTGTTTTTTCTTTTTAATCATCATTTTTGGAGTTCAGAAATTTCCCTGGGACATGTCAGAGTGTGAAGGATGACATTGCTGTTGATGAATCGCAGATAAGGAAGGCATAAGAAAGCCATTGATTTGTTCCAGAATTATTATTATTATTATTAGTTTAGACAGGGTCTCTGTACGGCAGGTGCTGGAGTGCAGTGGTGCAATCACGACTCAATGTAACTTCAAACTCCTGGGCTTAAGTGATGCTCCTGTCTCAGCCTCCTGAGTAGCTGGGACTATACATGCCCACCACCATACCCAGCTAATTAAATTTTTTTTTTTTTTGTAGAGACAGAGTCTCACTATGTTGCCCAAGCTGGTTTTAAACTCCTGGGCTCAAGCGATCCTCCCACCTCAGCCTCCCAAAGTGCTGGGATTACAGGGTGAGCCACCACTTCCACCCTGTTCCAGGATGTTTAACCTGTAAATAAAGAGGATGCCATGAGGTTGTGGAGGGGAGGTCTTCAGTGGCGGGCAGAGACAAAAGCAGAAACATGCTCATATCACACTGAACACCCTAGCAGCTGCTTGTCAAAACTCTGTACTTGAAAAGTCAATTTTAAGAGCTGATTTGAACCATGTTTTTACCTCCTCCAGAGGTCCTGAACTTGAGCCCCACAGCAGACCAGCTGAATAAAAATTTCTTGGGCTGGGGTTCAAGTATCATGGCTATTATTTTTCAATCTCCTCAGGTGATTCTAAGGGCAACCAGGTTGAGAAACACTAGTATAACTATTTTGCTGCTGCACTGGACCCCCTCCATTATTATTTTCACACACAATCCCCAACTGCTCCTGCCTTTGTTCAATTTCCCCTCTACCTGGTTGCTATAAAGTATCTCCACTCACTTAGATGTATTTTTACCCAATTTAGTCATCAATTCAATAACTATTTGTAGAACTTCTTTTTATGCCAGAATCATGCTGCATGATGGAGGGCCTCTTTAGAGGAGCCCAGATAGCATGACTAAGCATTCTTCTTCCTTCCTGCATGACTAAGCATTCTCTTTCCTTCCTTATTTGGATCCCAAAGGCGCTGTTCCCAGACCCTCACTGCCATTGCTACCTGGGACATAGAATGCCTTGCTTGTCCCTGGGTTCTTAAGGATAATGTTTCCCTGTTCTTATTCCCCAGTTACTTGTACTCATGATTTATTGACCGTATCCCTACTACTGAAAGCAGTAGATAGGTAAGGGCAGCAGCCTCCCCAAACAGTTATTTATTGGGGCAAACCTATTCTGAGCTGAAACAGTCTTTCGTCATTGTGGCATGCAATACCAGAGACTCAGAATGAGCAGAACATCCATGTGAATGCAGAAGGGAAAAAAAATGGCTTGGAGATGGACTCTCAGAGGCTCTTGACCCCTATAACACTCCTTTCTCCAATCATTCCAGTGTTTACTGCTGTCCTTTTCTCATGAATAAGGCTTCGGGGCCCTTTCTCCTTATCTTCTTTGGGTAGACAGAGCCAGGAGGCACAACAGAGTGACTGTATTTGGCTGAGTATAAAAGGGAACATACGATTTTGTGGTCAATTTATTTTCACCTCATTCATTCTCAGGGGTACATGGTTTTCACCTCCTTGATTTTCTGTGTTCATTGACTTGAAGCCTGCTGTTTATGGGAGGTTACTTCACATCTTCTCAAGCCATCTTTTTCTTTGTTTGTTTGTTTTTCGTTTTTCTGCCTTGGCAACTCTCTGCTTTCAGCTTGAACTAGTTTGAAGTAATCTCAGTGGTTTACCTACTTAATAATGATACTTGTCTTTTTCATAGAAGTATTATTATATGATATAATCTTTTTATTATAAATGTTAGAGTTTGGAGGGATCTTACAGGTTACTCTAGTCCAGCTCCTTCATTCAGTATGAGGGCACTGAAAACCAGGAGGTTAAAGGATTTGCCCAAGGTCACACAGCTGGAAAAGCAGAAGAGCTAGACTGGGAAGGGAGGGAAGGAGGGAGGGAGATAGAAGAAAGGAATGAAGAGAGGGAGGGACAGAGAGAGGGATGGAGGGAGAAGGATTTTACTCCAGATACAACAGTTGGATGCTTTTGGCTGCAAGTAACATTTGACTCAAACTGGCTTAAATAATCTGTGTATTTATCATCTCGCATATCAAGAAGTTCCGAGGCAGGGCAGGCTCCAGGTGTAGATGATTAGGGCTCTGGCTCTGCTGCTCGATGATTCCTTACCTAACCTGTCTCCATGTGTCAGCTGTGTTCTCAGAATGGCTTCCCCCATGGTACCCAGATGACTACCAACAGCAATGGGGGAATGTACTCCTCTGTTTACATCCAGATGGAGAGAGTGAGAGAAAGCATGGATCAGGGGTCCTGTCCTTCAGGCCGATTGGTCAACTCGGTTCATACTCGTGTGCCTGTCCCTAGGCTAACACAGTTGGTAAGGAAGGCCATAAGCTTGTGTCTGCATTCCCCAGCTCATCTCTGGCAGGGAGAACGTGCTCACTATGATTCATTTAGATCCATCAGCACCTCGCTCTGGAGATGGGTTGGAGTCCATTTCCCATGTGTCACTTGAGTTTCACGGGGGAGAGGTTGGTCAGGATTCCCTTCACAGAAAAGAAGAGAGGAGTGGATGGGTCAGGCGGGCAGCCAAAGGTATCCCCCACACGAGGAACCAGCAGGCAGTATCGCCCAGGTGAAGCACACGGCACAGAGCCCGTATGTATCCCCCACACGAGAAACCAGCAGGCAGTATCTCCCAGGTGAAGCACACGGCACGGAGCCCGTATGTATCCCCCACACGAGAAGCCAGTAGGCAGTATCTCCCAGGTGAAGCACACGGCACAGAGGCCATATGCAGCAGATGGTAAATGACCAGCCCTTGGGGCCATTCTTATTATTTGTTAAGCCCTGCTGACATGTGGGACTAACTATACCTTTTAAACTTTACCTGTGTTGGAGAGGGAGGGGATGAAGTGGGAAGGGGACCAGCCATGCCTCCTCTTGCCTATGGAAACTTTATCCTATAATGAGAGTGGCCAGCAGGAAAGAAAATAAGGAGGGCACCCCATCTGATCTGTAGAAGACGTACCTGTGCCAGGGTCAGGGTGGAAGCAGGTGTGTATCTTAGGGCATGAGCTGTGTGGGAACTCTAGCCTGAGTAGGAATCCTTACTGCCTCAACGGGATTTTTGAGCTAGCATGAAAGAGAAGGAAGTTTATGAGCTTCACCTGAAAATCCTTTCTGTTTTGTTTTTGTTTCGCTTTGTTTTGTTTTGTTAGAGACAGGGTCTCACTCTGTCACCCAGGCTGGAGTGCAGTGGTGCAATCCTAGCTCACTGCAGCCTTGAACTCCTGGGCTCAAGCGATCTTCCTGCCTCAGCCTCTGGAGTAGCTGGAACTACAGGTGCATGCCACCATGCCCGGCTAAGAAAATTCCCTCTTGAATTAATTATAATCCTCTCTTGCCAAAAAGTCATCCTTTTCAGATGGGACTGGCAGTGTGTGCCACCTATCAGAGCAACCATGAGACTCCCGACCAGCTATGTGCTTGCCCTTCTCCTGGGCTGTGCTTTTTCCTTCTTATTAAAGTTTTTATTTATGACGTCCATGAATGCCAGTCTCAGGGCAGAATTCCCTCCCCACCACGGCGCATTGTCTTGACTTTAGGTCATCCCTAGAACTTTTTACTATTCTGAACGCTACTCATCTCAATGTATTTTCCTGGCCTTCTATGGCTGCTCCATTGGGTATGTTTGATGCGGGGAGTGCTTTGAGGTTTGTGAAAAGCGTTTTTGAGAAACTTGCTGTTAGATAACATCCCCGGGTCTCAGTGATCCTTTTTTAAGCACCACCATCATCTACATTAATCATCCTGTTTATGATGCATAGACAAAGGATGTGGAACTGTTTCTGTAGGGCTTGGGGAGAGGGCTGTTTCTAGGAGCTGTTTCTTCCAGTCTGGAGAGGCAGCTTCAGTCTGAGTTGTGGGGGCGGCGTGGCAAAGCTTCTGGCTCCTGAATTACAATAAGGATTTGAATCAAGAGAGCCCACAAAGATTCTGCCCATAAAGCTGTTTCACTCTCATTTTCTTTTTTTGGAAGTGAGGTCCCAAGTATTAATGTTTTCCCCCACAGAATGCAATGATGTATGTAGAGTGCAAAAAGAGGGGAAACTCAGAAATTATTCCATAGCTCTATTTTTTTTCCCTGAATAACTTGAGTTCTCAGAAGCTTTGGGAGCATGTGCTGATACGTTCTGAGTCTGAGTGATCCTGTCTTATGAGGCTGAGGTGTTCTGCCATTTTCTCAGGCTTGCCAGCAGCGCCTGATGGCCTCCGACACCGCGGTCTTCAGTCCCCCTTGCTGACTGTTCTGACACCCTCGCTGGCTGGCTCCGTCTGGCCCCAGGTCCTAGAATCAATCCTGATGATAGAAAGATGTCTGCAATCTCAGCCCGATTCCCCATCCAGTAGCTCTGAGAATTCAATCAAATACCCCTGCAGATTCAGAATGCCACGCTGTGCCACGTCTGCTAACTTTCTATGCCTGCCAATGTCCTTTGCTGCCAACCAGCTCCAAGGGTAAGCCCTGATCTCCTGTATGCCCCTTGAATTTCTGCATCCCACTGTGCCCTGTGATGCCGCATCCGTCGATGGCTGCCTGCCTTGTTCTAGCACCCCTACCTCTAATAGCCTCTATTAAGCAGAGTCCTGACCTGAGCCCCAGCCTCCCGGGTGGATTTCTTGCATGGTACATGGCTCTCGCTAGCCTTCCTCCCTGGAGCTGATCCATGGCCTGTGCCCCGGCCCCCAACACTGGGTCAGCAGTCTCAGCCTCTGCCTGGCCTCTGGTTCCTGAGGGGATGGCGACTGCCTGGGTTTGTCACCATATTGAATAAAACATATTGATGGCTGGCTGCATCATACCTGAAGGGCTAGGCCCTTTGACATAGTATGTTGGACCAATGGTTAGAATATGAGGGCTGTAGATGCCTGGACAGTGCAGGGGCATTGCAAAGAATTTAGGCATCTACATATCCACCAAGATTTATATGTGGAATGTCTTATAGAAATATCTTCATTATGCTTTGAAAATGTGTACAGATGCTTCTGTATCTAATGAGATAGAGATCCATTTAAAAGCATTACTGAATTCATAGCATCTTTTTGTCACTGTATATCTTCTCAATCAATCAATGGATGCCAAAATCCAAGTACAACACAGCACAGTGTTGTCATCTGAGCAAGGCCTCTTTTGCAGTCGTTGTCTGCACTGCCCAGCACTCACGGATCTGCCGGCTCCCTTGGGTTGCAGCACTCTGTCTGCAGTGGCAAAACTCCTAAGAAACAGTTCATTCTGCCCAGTGTGACCCTTTGCTGGAAGTTTTTCCTGCCAGCTACAATAGGCAGGGGTGTGAGAGTTCACCTCCTCTGAACTGTCTCTATTGCTCTCTCAAGGCAAATGGACTGCAGAGTTGCACTGGCCTCAGAGCCACTAACCATGTCATGACTGCCTCATGGGGAAAGTTCCAAGGGGAACAGTCTGTGGTTCCAAGCCATGTTTTGATTCAAGTCTCTGAGGATGTCCATACCCTTAATGGCTAATAGAGGAGTGGGGTCCTCGAGCTTCCCAAGACATATGAGGACCCTACTTTTTTCCCATTAATCTTAGACGCAAGCTCTAGCTTCTGAGATATCTGAGCCAGCATTCACGTAAACACCCCATTCTGTAGGAATGAACAGAAGGAAAAGGCAGCCGGAACAAATAACTTCCAAGTTAATATTTTGCCAAGACTAACCCAGACTGGACCAGACTGTAAATTCCTGATGGAAGAAGCTGGGATTCCCCTCCTCCACCCCATCCCCCTAGGCCCCGCCTATACTCCATTCTCCGTGTCCTCAGGTATAAGTCGGAGATACAGCATTCCAAGGGAGAGCCCCTGAGCTCAGGGCTGAGTGAAACCTGGCCTTGAACCCAGTATAACCTTCTAGTGGCCCTCTGAACCTCTGAGGCTATGACAGAGGAAGAGGGGCCCAGAACCCTAACAGAGGAGGGAGTGGGGCACAGGGCCGAGTCCGTTTCCTTGCCTCCGTTTCAGAAGAGCTGTCCTTGGTGTTGAAGCAAACCTCGGCTGCTTGTCTCCTCTGCAGGGGAGAGTTATGTAAATAACGCCTGCGTCTCTGGGAACTCCACTGTCTCAGGTAGTGGAGGGAGCCCTCGGTGGAACTTGGTGAGACCATTCAGTCGGAACGCTGTGCATCTGCCCTGGCCTGCCCTTGCTGAGTCAGTACGCAGGCCAGCTTGTTGGGGAAGGTGTGTGTAGGAGAGAAAACAGAGGCCTTGGAGATGCCACACTAACACCAGGAACCTCGCAAAGAAAAACTCCTGAACTCGGAAAGAGACTCTGATAATAGCTAAGTTCCCTTGTTTCTGACTATTTAGGGAGAGCGCTGTTACGAGCCTGGGACAAATGTGCTACGCCTCTGTTGTCTGGATTATGAAAAAAGCCAGGACAAGTGAAATGATCTGGCCTGTTGTCATGGCAATAGCAGCCCTTCCGCAGACATCGACGGAGAGCCCGTATGCTGTGCTAGAGACTGTGGTGTGTGTGCTGCGGACACAATGCAGGAAAAGATGGCCTCAATTCTTGCCTTCATGGAGCTTACGGTATAAAGGAAGACTCAGAAAAAAAGAGAAGTAAACAAACAAATACCTATATAATTATGTAGTCTGGGAAGGAAACAAATGTGCCTGAGACAATGACAGCAAATTTACCGTAGACAGGGAAGACCACTCAAAAGAGTGACGTTTATTTATTTATTTATTTATTTTTAGACAGAGTTTCACTCTGTCGCCCAGGCTGGAGTGCAGCAGTGCGATCTCGGCTCACTGCAACCTCCGCCTCCTGGGTTCAAGCGATTCTCCTGCCTCAGCCTCCAGAGTAACTGGGATTACAGGTGTGCACCACCACGCCCTGCTAATTTTTGTATTTTTAGTAGAGATGGGGTTTCACCATGTTGGCCAGGCTGGTCTCGAACTCCTGACCTCGTGATCTGCCTGCCTCGGCCTCCCAAAATGCTGACATTACAGAGGTAAGCCACCGCACCCAGCCAGAGTGATGTTTAATAGTGTGTTGTGATGGATGAGAAGGAACCAGCCCACTCATGAGTGTGGAATAAGAGTACTTTGGGCTGAGGGAAAAGTGAGTTCAAATGCCTTGGGGTAGGAAAGAGCTTGCTCCTTTGATGAACTTAGAGAAGCCTTCTCTGAGATGATGTCATAAGAGCTGCTTCCCTAATACCACCCAGTGGAAGGAGAGATGCCCAGATGAAGATGGACTCATCGAGTAACTGACGGTAACTAGTAATCTGAAGTTTAATCCAAATTATCATTTCAAAGGGAGGTACAAATGCTCAGGAATCTGTCTCAACCAGGCTGACCTTGAATCCTGCTGCCTAGTTTTACATTAAGACTTTCAGGTCTGGCCCCCTGGCTGGCGCCTGTAATCCCAGCACTTTGGGAGGCCAAGGTGGGAGGATTGCTTGAGGCCAGGAGCTCGAGACCAACCTGGGCAACATAGTGAGATCCTACCTCTACAAAAAAATACACACACGCACAAATCTAGCCAGGCATGGTGGTGTGCCTCTGTAGTCCTAGCTACTCAGGAGGCTGAGGCAGGAGGATTGCTTGAGTCCAAAAGGTCAAGGCTGCAGTGAGCTAGGGTTGCACCACTGCACTCCAGCCTGGGTGACAGAATGAAACCTTGCTTCAAACAAAACAAAACAAAACAAAACAAACCTTTCAGTAGTTCTGTGATTTTTACTACCAAATGGAATTGTATTTTGTATCATGACATGTGCCTTTAAAAACAGGAGAGAAATGCAGATTCTCCATGGCAAAAAAACAAAAAACTAGACAAAGGAAGTCTTAGAAAAAACGAAGAGGCAAGCCAAGGCAGACACGAAGCTCTTATCGGCACAACCCCAGATTCCGGTCAAGAAAAGCTCAGCAAGATCAGAGAGGAGTTGTAATCTCTGATAAACAGATGGGGAGACACGGAGGGCTGTTGATGGTGGGGCCTGGGAAGAGCCTAAGGGATTGGATTTGGAGAATGGAATTTTCTAGGCCAGGTCAGGCTGCCTCACAGTGTGTTAGTCCAAGAAGAGCTTTTATGCGAGACCAGGGATGGATCCTGGCCTGGGGGCCAAAGTTTATAGAACGTGTGTCTATGTATGTCTGTCTACACATGTATGAAGAACTTTACACGATAAGAAATGCAACATTGCTGAGCACCCTCCCAGAGCCTCAGAAGAATCCTCAAGTGAGGGTCCCTGAATCTTAAACCTCATTTGCTCCATGCTACCTCTAGCTGTGTACCAGACACCTCATCCAAGGCCAAATGACTTCACTTTGCTTGGCATGGAAAAAAGGCACTAAACTTGGATCACACGTTGAGTCTCTGCTATGATGGTGGAGAGTGTGGGGAGAAAAAAGAACCAGATAGGTTGGAGTTAAGTATCTCAGAGGCCATGAGGGCAAAACTGGAACACAGCTGCTGCCTGCTGCAGGGACAGGATGACGAGAGGGAAGCAAGCCAGACAGGTGACGAGTCTGCCTTCCGCGCCTCCGCTGCATGGTAGCAGGAATGCTTTCTCCACTTAGGAACTTCTACTAGCTTCACCTCTAAAAAGAGATTGCCATTGTTGTTGGTAATTAGCACATGAGAGGTATACCTTAGGCTACCCTTAAACGGGCCCGACCTGCTGAGAAGAGCAACAGTAGAGACAGCCTAAGTCATTTATGAAAGTGGAGAAATGCTTGCTTCCAGGGCCCCAGTGCCCCCTAGTGCTCATGCACCCCAACTCCAACCCCTCGTCCTATTCTGCTGGCAATTAAGAGTTTGCCATCAAACCTGTAATTTTCCAAAATAGATCCCTAAACTTTAACTCCACCCCTCCTGCTGTCCCTATGAAAACATAAGCACACAAATCACATCTCACTGTCTTAGTAATCTGTGAACTAACTACTTTGATTAAACTCTAATACAATGAATTTATACTCAAATTGGAAAGGCAGGCCTCATATACTGTCTTTTCTGGAAATAGTGTTTTTCTTTTTTCATTGAGCAAAAATTTACTGAGCATTTAGTATGCATCAGATACTGAATTAAGGGGTTACTATGAGAAGGTCCCTGCCTGGAGGAATCTGTCACCCAGAGGAAAAAGCAGACTCAGTGATCTGTGCAGAGCACAGTCAGGGCATTTGGAAAGAGCGTCCTGGAAAGAAAGCAAGGGTGACTGTTAATTGCTGAGAAACTTAAATGCTAGTTCCAGCTGGCAGGGGTCTACTCTAGGATAGAGAACCTTAGCATGTGCTCTACATGCTCTCCTGTGGAGAGTCTCCTAGTGCAGCTTGGCCAATCAATGTGATGGGCACTGACTTGGGAGGCTTAGTTCACAAGTCTTAAGTATTTTCTGCCCCTGTCCAGATAATGTCTTTTCTGTTTCTTTTGTTTTGTTTTGTTTTGTTTTTGTTCTTGTTTTTGTTTTTGAGACGGAGTCTCGCTCTGTCGCCCAGGCTGGCGTGCAATGGCTGGATCTCAGATCACTGCAAGCTCCACCTCCCGGGTTCGAACAATTCTCCCACCTCAGCCTCCCCAGGAGCCAGGATTGCAGGCACCTGCCGTCATGCCCAGCTAATTTTTATATTTTTGTAGAGACAGGGTTTCACTATGTTGGCCAGGCTGGTCTCGAACTCCTGACCTCAGGTGATCCTCCCACCTCGGCCTTCCAAAGTGCTGGGATTACCGGTGTCAACCACCACACCTGGCCTGTCCAGACAACCTCTGAGGTCTCTTCCTCCTCTTAACTGGGCAGAATCTTGCTTGGAACTATTTCACAGGAGCTCAGATGAATGGCAGAAAAAAATGGCTGCTCACTTACTCTTTTTAAATTGTTAATTCATTAATTTATTTTTAAAAACTCATTCACTAAAATCATTTATTCTTGAGTCTTACTCTGGTAGAGAGCAGTGCACAGTGAGACTGACTTTAGAAAGCCAAAGATAGATTTGGCCAGTCCTGCTGTCCTTTCCATTTGCAATGACTTGTAGATATTAGTGGGAGTGACAGAGCCTACCTGCAATTTTAGAGTGGCTATAAATCCATTTGTTCCAGATTCTAGTATCCTGGGGCTGATCCTCACCTGTTTAGCTCCATGAGAAAGTCATGATTATAAAAGGGACTGTCCAGGCAGGGTTTGGCCCACAGAAAGTGAAATGCTGCAAATTGCTTTAAAAACTTGTTACTGTGGAGATCTGAATTGAAGGGTGATAGAGCAATTTGGTGTTGCTGAAAGAGATGATCAAGAAAAAGCATAACATCTATGGTGATTATTTTCAAAGCAGCATGGAGTGTGTCTTTGCTAATTTAGATCACATATCTGGTCTTAGTATCAATGATCAGTGCTTAGTTATGTGAGGCACCTACTGAATTTCTTGTGATCGATCCTAGGACAGTTACAGGTTGCAAATATCTATATAACCTTTGTTTCCTGACTCTATGTGCCATGTTTCTGCAATGGGAATCTTAGATGTTTAAAATGACTGATAGGATATGGAGGTGCTAAAAGCATTACTGCCAATTCCTAATCTTTGGGGGCTCAAAGAATTCTTTTTACTTCCGCTTGCATGTCTGCACAGTGATCCCCACAACTGCCACCCTATCGGGGTTCTGTCTCTGTACGTCTTCATCAGTCCTATTAGCATGTTTTACTCACATGTTAAAAGTTCAAAATAAAATTTAATAATGCTAATAACATTTTCAAATTTGTGGATTTTTAAAATTATTTAGAATGCATTTTAAAATTATGGTAAAATACCTCTCTGCTTCACATAACTTTGAAACTGTTTTTTTCTTAAAATTTGCAGCCTCCAGGATTTGTAAAAAATAAAATTTTTTATGTCTTTTGTGACAAAGAACAAAGGCTAAAAACCTGCAGTTCCCTTCTATTGTGGGTTGAAATGTGTCCCCCCAAAAAGATTTAAGTCCTAACCCCTGATACCTGTGAATGTGACCTTATTTTAAAACAGGATCTTTGAAAGTTAAATAAAGTTAAAATGAGGTTGTCTTGGATTAAGGTAGGCACTAATCCAATGACTGGTGTTCTTATAAGAAGAAGGCAATTTGGACATAGGGACACAGACACACAAGGCCACAAACCAAGGAATGCCAAAGATTGCGGGCAATCACCAGAAGCTAGGATGGCAAGGAAGTCTCCTCCCCTGGAGCCTTTGGAACAAGCGTGGCCCAGCAGACACCTGCAGGTTATGAATTAGGACTTTAATCTTCCAGAATTGTGAGAGGTTAAATATCTGGTGTGTGAGGTTTTTTGTTTTTTTTTTGTTTTTGTTTTTGTTTTTGTTTTGTTTTGTTTTTGAGATGGAGTCTCATTCTGTTGCCCAGGCTGGAGTGCAACGGCTGATCTCAGCTCACTGCAACCTCCACCTCCAGGGTTCAAGCGATTCTCCTGCCTCAGCCTCCCGAGTAGCTGGGATTACAGGCACGTGCAACCATGCACAGCTAATTTTTGTATTTTTAGTAGAGACGGGGTTTCACTATGTTGGCTAGGCTGCTCTTGAACTCCTGACCTCACGATCCACCTGCCTTGGCCTCCCAAAGTGCTGGGATTACAGGCGTGAGCCATGGCGCCCAGCCAAATATCTTTTGTTTTAAACCACTCAGTTAGTGGCACATTTATTGTGGCAGACCTAGGAAACAAACACACTTTCCTTCCCCTAAATTCACCTATTAGATATTGGGTCCCTAATACAGTGTTTACCTTTTGAAGGGTTTGTGAACACCCGTGCTTATTTCTGAGCTAGGCATGTTGGATCTTACAAATGACTTCTTGTCTTGTGGGACACACAGAATCCCAGAGGAATGCTAGCGGCCAAGAGCCAAAGTCTCAGTTTACTGGGCCCTAGTGAAACAGCCCGAGGGATGAGTCAGGGAGGATTGCAATGCTGTTTGTTACCCAAGTTGAGAACTTAGGCTCACAATAGTGCTCCTGTACTGTTAATAACTGGGGAATTTCCATTACAAGGTATCTGATCATCTTGGGATACCAATGAAGGATTTGAGTTCAATTAAGTGATGACAACACAGGCTGCCTTGTTTATCTTCAAGAAATGTAGCCCCTTGTTTTGACCATGGTTTAATGGGTTCCATAAAGAAGGTGGTGGCATTTGATATGATTTTATTGTTTTATAATTTGTGATTTGCAAGTTTCAGTAGTCAGGAGATTTCTTTTGCCTCCCCTTCTCCCTGCAAGAGCCTTCCCCGCAATCCGGATAGGCTGTCTCATGATGCCTGGTGGTATCTTGTCTCATCATTGAAATAATTCATATGTTTTGCCTAAGATCTAGATGACAACCACATTTTATTTATTTTATTTTATTTTGCCAAAATAGCCATTATCAAACCAGATAAACATACCGGCCATAAAACAGCAATGAATAATCTTATAGCAGGTGATAAGAAAATAAACTCCTCTGTACAGTTTGATCTTTTTATATAGGAGATTCCTAAGCATTATATAGTTATTTAAGTCTCAGTCTTGTACTCAGATGCTTCTTTAAAAAAAATTCCAGAATGAATTTGGAGAGTATAGGCTGGGATGGAAGGGATACCTCCAAAACTCAGAACATCAAGTTGAATCGTAGGAAGATGCAGGCTTTCTCCCAGACCCACAGAACAGGGGCCACTCTGTGACTAACTATGCTAAATAAATATTCAGTAGCCCAGCTAGAGAGACCATGTGTCCACAGAAAGGATATGGTCAAAACAGAAAATAGGGTTCGAAGAAGCAGAATTTGTTCCTGGGAAAAACACTGATTACTTTTTTTGTTTTGTTTTGTTTTCCCGCCCAGGCTGGAGTGCGGTGGCAAAATCTTCGCTTACTTCAGTCTTGACCTCCCAGGCTCAAGCAATCCTCCCGCCTCAGCCACCTGAGTAGCTGGGACCACAGGCATGCACCACCACGCCTGGCTAATTTTTGTATTTTTAGCAGAGATGGAGTTTCACCATGTTGCCCAGGCTGGTCTCTAACTCCTGAGCTCAAGTGACTCGCCCTCCTCGGCCTCCCAAAGTGCTGGGATTCCATACGTGAGCCGCCGTGTCTGGCCTTGATGACTTCTTAATGGATATCTCCGTCCCTATTGCCCTTTTGAGCTTGATTCATGTTTAAGATGAGTTAAACTAACATTTCACCTCGGTACTCTGATGGTACTCAAAACCAATATGTCCCAAACTAGCACAGTTCAGCAGGTGCTAAAGAAATATTTTTGATACAAAAAAATTAGCTGGGCATGGTGGCGGGCCCCTGTAATCCCAGCTACTCCGGAGGTTGAGGCAGGAGAATCGCTTGAACCTGGGAGGTGGAAGTTGCATTGAGCTGAGATGGCGCCACTGCACTCCAGCCTGGACGACAAGAGTGAAACTCTGTCTCAAACAAACAAACAAAAAACGAAATATTTTTGAAAGATAAATGAATAAATGGCTCATCTGTCCTGCCCCAAATCCAATTGCTAAGAATTTCCTTTATTAGTGAATGGCACTAATGTTTGCCAGCTAGAAACCTCTAAGTTGATGATTCTTCCCTCTGATACTCTGCATATCTCATCAATCACCATATCAAGCTCATCAAGCTTACAATTCCCTGAAATAAAAAGCACACACTGTCTAGTTTGCCTGAAATGGGAAGGCCTGGTGCTTCCCCACCACATGGCTTGAGCAGCAATCTTCCCCACCTCCCCCAGGCAGCTTGAATTCCTCCCTCTGTTAAAATTCTCACGAGCTTCTATGGTCATTATCTTATGTCTCCCCAGCCTGATTAAAACCCCTCAACCAGAAGCCCTGTCTTATTCACCTGTAAATACCCAGTGCTCGGTCTCCAGCCTGTTGAGACATGGTGGATGACGAGGACACGCTGACGAAAGCAATGAAAGGACACTGTGCCGGCCGAGGGGAGGGCGATGGGGCCACCAAGCGCAGTCTCTGCCGTCTCTGGCTGAACCTAGTCTGAGACGCAGCCAACAAGGCCTCGGAGAAGCGCTGAGTTCAGGGATGGCACAAAGCAGACGCAGGAGCAGCTGGCTGGAAGTGGAGGGCCTGAGGTGGGCAATGTCTGTTGTAATCCACGGCAAGTCTTTTTTTAGAAGCAGATGAGTGCCCCTTTGAAAGAAATTGGCACCGGAATTATGATACTTAGGTGAGCTCTGTCCTTGACGTATTCATCGTATTCCGTCCTCATCAGCAAGGTGGAGGTGCAACTTCAGGAATGGAGTGACCAGCTATGGAAACAGAAGCAGCTGCAAGTCTTCTCTCTTCCCTGGCCATGGAATGCACCTTACAGGATGCAGGGAAAGCTCCAGATGGCGTGGAGAACAGCACCTGGGGGGGCCGCAGTCTTGCCTCTGAGAGGAAGACAACTGGCACCCCACAAACACTGGTGGATGGGTCCCAGGAGGAATCAATGGCCCTGCCTGGAGTCGTCCTGTGTCCTGAATTCTGTGTGCATGCGCTGTCCTCCTCATCAGCATCACTAAAGAAGTCCCTTGCTGAAAGTCAGGGTGCCATGATACAGCTCCACTCATGCTTGAATGTTTCTGTTTTATCGTCCAGGACTGGAGAGGTCTGCAATAAATGGGGCATATGATAATTCGGACATTCCTGGCACCGAGCAAGTTCAGGAAGCAGGCGAGGGGGCGATAGGGCACCGTGAGCCTCTCCACCCTGTGGCATCTGCAAGCCTTGCTCCAGTCCTCAGCAGTACCCCGGGTGCCTTGCACCTCTTTAAAGCATGGGGCTCGTGGGCAAGTCAGCAGATGCAGAATTCTAGTGTCTTTAATTAACTGTTCAGTAGACCCTGAGCCCCAGAACATTTTCCTTTGCGCACAGACAACATCTAGGGTAAGATAAAATCATCTTAGTCTACTAGATTGATTGGAAGGAGCAACTGCCCAAGTGCCTGTCTAAGTAAACTTTGGCAGAACTCAGGCCGGTCCTCTGAAGACCTGGGGGCTTATTCTAGGGATATCACTGAACTGGTAGATGGACTGTGGTGGAATCATTTTTATTCTGTAGGATGAAGGTTGCCTAATGCTGGCCTGTGGAAAGTGCCATTCTGCGACTAAGTTATTGAGGCTTCACAGGGAGTTAGGAGACAGACTATGGAGAGAACTTCTCCATTAAAATAGACGGGTTCGCTTAGTCTGAGATTATATCCTTCCTCTTTATTGTAGAGTTTTTAAAAATGCTCCTTCGACCTGAATGAGCACATGGGCAAATTTAGAATGTAGAACATTCTACAAGACAACTTCTCTTTCTTCAAAGAGTCGAGGTCATGAAAACCTTTTTTTTTTTTTTTAAATGTGCAGGGAGGATTCCAGATTGAAGGATTTACAGCGACATAACAACCAAGTGTAATAAATGGAACTGGATTAAATCTTGGAAGGAAAAAGATCTATAAAGGACACTTCTAAACAACTGGGGAAATTCACATATAAACTGCCTATTAGATTATTATAATTTATGCTAATTGTCTTAGGTGAGACAACAGTATTGTGATTGTTTTGGAGAATATTTTTTTCTTTAGAGATGCATGAGAAAATATTTAGGGGTGAAGTGACATGACTTCTGTAACTTTCAAATTGTTCTTTAGGAAGAAAAGTTAGATGGAGATAAAGCGAAAATGTAAACAATGTGTGAATATAGCTAAGGGGGCTATTGATATTCATCGTGATTATTTTAGCTTCTCAATAGGATTAAAAGTTTTCAAAATAAAATTCAGGAGGAAAAGATTCAATTCCTCTTGGTGAAATATTTTATCGGTACCATATCTTTGGGCTGCAGTCTCTTGCATGATGTAAAGTACTTTAAAATGAAAGCATTTTTGAAATAGCACAACAATCCTCTTTCTTTTATGGAATTATAGTCATAGGTGATAGTTTCTTTGTATTAATATCCAAAATAAAAACGTGTGAACCCCACGTTGTTACTGCTGCTGCTTCCTCCTCCTCTTCCTCTTTCTCCTCCTCCTTCTTCTAAACATGTTTCTGGTCTAGGAATCTGGATGTCTAGAGGGTGCTGCTCCAGTGGTTGGCTTGTGCTATTCAGGGGTCCAACATTCTTCACGTCATGGCACATACAGAAAACAGTAATACTTGGCCAATGGAGTGAGACTGCTAGTGTCTGAAGGCAAGTAGCCCAGAAGCTCCGGCTGTCCCCAGGATGAAGGGGTCACTATCTTGGCACCCCCATGAGCCATCTGGGTCACATAAGTGTGCCACAGTCCACAGGTTAGGAAACTCTTCTTACATGCACAAAAGTGCTATGAACTGCTTTAATTATGATTTGAAACATTTGCTTGGAAAGTTATCTAGTATATGTCCAACACACTATGGATTCCTACTTTGATGCTATGAATGAGGTTTAGGTATCACTGTATGTTTGTGATAGCGCTGAATACCAGTGCAGTGGCCCACCTCTCTAACACGTTTCCGTCTGTATCATCACGTATCATAAGACTTGTTGTAATGGATCTTGAGTTGTAACAAGGTTAACAGAGATGCAGACTCCTACAGGAGCATATGGAGCTAACTCAGGAGCTAATGTTCTATCTCTAGCTTTTGAGATTCAGTCCAACTTGAATGGATTCAGATGAAGCAAGAAAAATCTGAGAACAGGAGCCTAGAAAGGAAAAGTTAATCCAATTTAATTCAACCTTTTCAATGAAGCAACATTTCATGTTTGGAGTTCAAACTTCTGAAGTTCTAAATAATTAATTTAAGTGCATTGAAATTTATCTGTTTGGAGGCTGCTCTCATGAAGAGACCAAGCTTAGAAAAGTGGTTTCTTAACCCTCTGGGTGCATCAGAATAGCCTGGCGAGCTTCTGACAAACACAGATACGTGGTCTTCATCCCTAAGAGATTGTGAGTCAATTGGTCTGGCATTCTACTTTTCAGAGGCTGCCCACCCAGGGGATTCTAGTGTGCTAGCAAATACTGAAGCCTAGAATCAGAAGCTCATAGTAAACAACTGGGAAGTATAAAGTGCTTTGCAATTATGAGACATTATTTTTATGATATGCTACTATAATTTCTTTTCTGTCTTCTCCTCCTAATTTCTCAACATGGTTAACTCATTCCATTTTGAGTGGAGTTTTTTTGTTTTTTGTTTTATTTTTCCTGGAATCCCTGTGGCCTCGTTCTTTCTATTGCTCAGCAAGAACCCACATACCCGTGACCGGCACAGAAGAGGTAACTGAGAAGTATCTTCCTGGGCACCCGCGAGGGTGCTACTGATGGAGAGTGTGCTTTCTTTCTAAAGCCAGATAATACTGTTGTTGTGTTGTTTCTCAGTCTAGATTCATTGTGACTTTGCTTCCTTCCATTAACTTGGACAGTTCTGAGTCCCCTCCGTCGGCTGGATGTCTGCGTCCTGTGCCAGAGAGTACACAGGAAATCGAGTGGTGGGGCCATTGCTTACTTCCAGACTCAGATTCCAACTTCTTTGTTCATAATGCAAAATTTGATGGTCAGAATAAAACTATGCAAATAAGATGATCCTATAGCCCAAGATAAAAGTAGGACTTTATTTAGTTTTAATATTTTTTAGAAACAAGGTCTCACTCTGTCGCTCAGGCTGGAGTGCAGTGGTGCCATCATAGCTCACTGCAGCCTCGAACTCCTGGGCTCAAGCCATCCTCCTGCCTCAGCCTTCTGAGTAGCTAGGACAAAAGTAGGACTTTAAATTGATGCTGAGATTTGCAAGATTCAGTTAGTAGGATCCTAGAGAAGTTAAATCACACAGGTTGAAATATCCTGATGATGATGATGATGATAGCTAACACACAGTGTTTACAATCTGTCAGACCCTAGTCTAAGTGCTTTACTCCCATTAACTCATGTAATCTTCACAACAACTGTATGGGTTAGGTACTATTATTGTCATCCCTGCACTACAGATCAAGAAACTAAGGCACAAAGAGAGGCTTTCGAGGCTTGATTTGCCATTAATGAGCCTATGTGAGCTTGGATACATCACTTAACCTTTCAGGATCTCAGATTTCTGGTTGGATTAGTGCTTTTCTACAACTCCTTTCTACTCGATGGTTCAGTAACTTTGTGAGTCATTCATTCCTAATGATCTCTGATCTCTGTTTCATTTAACCAGGACATTCCACTTCTGCCCATGTATCTTACTGATTTGGTGCAGTGATTTATTCTTTGTCTGTCCTTACCCTACTTTGTTTTCTATTAACCTCGGTTTCTGTTCCTTCAAAGTCTTCTACATTCTTTTCCTTATTAAAAACATCTGGAGAATCTTCTACATTTTGATAGGTTTCATTTCTAGAGGTAGAGAGTTTATCTATGTACATCAGCATTGGAGTTTGAGGACTTCCATTTAGGAGTCAAATGCAAATCTTAGAACTTTAGTGAGTCAAATAGTGTCATTTTCCTTAAAAAATAACAGTATAGAAATGAGTGAGAAAATGATGAAAATGAGCTGAAGTACTGAACTGAAGCACATGGTAACTGAAGTAGCAGCTGGATCATGGTACCCAGTGTAAGTTGTTGTGCTGACACTATTTTAATGAATACATTTTACATTATTTTCACGAATGTTAATATAGAGCTGCTACTATACTTGTGATTCAAAGAATGATATTTATAGTATACTAATACACCCAATAATGATGCAATGAAGAAGCTAAGATTTTCCATTCTTTTCCAGATTTGAAAGTGTGGACAGTGAGATTGGGGAAGCAGGTAGAACAGTACTTGAGAAATTTAAGAGGACTAAGGTTCTCTGTTTACTCCAGATGTCCAGAGGATCAATAGACAGTCTTTTCTCCATGGTGACTTACTCACTCTAGAAAAACAACTATCTAAAAGGGGAAGCTAAACATAATGATCTCACATTTCTATAAACATTCAGGGCCTTTTTCTGCTTTGCACTGGAACCTGAAAATGTGTGATTTTCTATTTTATCTGCAAATTGGAAGGTTCTCATGGTCACCATATTAAGAGCTTATATAAAAGGGGCCAGATAGATGAAGAAGAACATTCTCAGCTCTGTATGCCTACCTGGCACTTCTAACACGCAATTCTCTATTTTCCATGAAACCAGGAAGTTTGTGGATTCCTGCAAGGATTCAAGTGACTCACATCAATGAAGGCGGTGAATATGTTGGACCCAAACACCATCGGAAACATCTTTGTCAGCAGGGAGCAGAAGTTATATTAATTAAAATGTACTAAGAAGGCACAGGGTGCCCTCCCAACGAGTTACAAATTATTTTAATCCTAAATAAGGATGTTGCCTCCTGGCATCTTGTACTGCAGGGAATTAGAATAGAAACGTCTGTGGCATTTCTAGAAGTAGGGTCAGCAGGCTCAGATGGGATCTCTCAAGTTAGGAGCTGGACACATTTTGATAGAGAGCCACCAATTCAATTAAGTGATATTTAGTCAATCTCCTCTACGTATTCAGAGAAGATTAGGAAAAGGTTCAAAGTGAAAGGATCAGAAACAGGTAAAACTTGGAGAGAAGAGTGAAGGACTTGGTATATTAAGAAATAATCGGAGACTGGGCGCGGTGGCTCATACCTGTAATCCTAGCACTTCGGAAGGCTGAGGCGGGCAGATCGCCTGAGGTCCAGAGTTTGAGAGCAGTCTGACCAACATGGAGAAGCCCCGTCTCTACTAAAAATACAAAATTAGCCAGGCGTGGTGGCAGGTGCCTGTAATCCCAGCTATTCGGGAGGCTGAGGCAGGAGAATCACTTGAACCCGGGAGGCGGAGGTTGCAGTGAGCTGAGATCGCACCACTGCATGCCAGCCTGGGCAACAAGAGTGAAACTCCATCTCAAAAAAAATAAAAAGAAAAATAAAAAAAAAAAGGAAAAAGAAAGAATAAGTGACCCTATAAAGGAAGAGTATGATTGAGTGGAAGGTGCTGGACTCATACAAGACTACTGGCACATGCTGAGACAGTTGCCACATGGGCCTGGCACCTCAGCATACGGACCTTTGTTTGGGAAGATAAGATATCACCGGGATTTTTTAGCCAAAGACCTTGATAAATTCATTCGTTTTAGAGGAACTTGGGGATTCACTGTGGAAACAGTGTTTTCTTTTTTTTTTTTTTTTTTTTTCAGAGTCTTACTCTGTCACCCAGGCTGGAGTGCAATGGCCCGATCTCAGGTCACTGCAACCTCTGCCTCCTGGGTTCAAGCTATTCTCCTGCCTCAGCCTCCCCAGTAACTGGGATTACAGGCAGTGCCACCATGCCTGGCTAATTTTTGTATTTTTAGTAGAGACAGGGTTTCTCCATTTTGGTCAGGCTGGTCTCAAACTCCTGACCTCAGGTGATCCACCCGCCTCGGTCTCCCAAAGTGTTGGGATTACAGGCATGAGCCAGCGCCTGTCTGAAACTTAGTGTTTTCTGTGTGGATTTGGAAAACCTAATGAAGTTGTTGAGATAATTTCTTCACTGTGTGTCATCACATACATAGACCGCGTGCAAATCTTTGGACATGATTGTAAGCTGACTTATTATCCATTGTCAAGAATGTTATCATTAACACTTTCAAGCATTAGTGTATGGATGCAACTTTCACTATTGGAAAGAGCCAAGTTAAATGATCCAGGGTGGGCAAATAGGAGGTAGCCTCGTGTCCTCTGGACCCCGCATTCCTGGTAAGCCATTGCTTTTCAAATGGCAAACGCCGGGCTCAGCCTCCACATCTGCAAATGATTTGAGAAGAAAGAATTTGGGTTAAAATTCAGAGATGAATGTTAGGATGCCTTAAAAAGACTTCCCTGAATGAGAAAGGAAAAGAAAAAAACGCTATTTTTTGGTGTGTGGTGACGGAGAATATTAGGGTTGTGAGTATGAAAGTACCTTTTTTTTTCAACTGTAAAGCTGGAAGAGCATATGAATAAGAATGGCTTGTGCTGGCAGCAGCAGAGTTGACATTTGGGAGAGGAGAGAGAAGCTAGCTTCAAGCCGGAGGACCAGATTTTGAGCTTGCTTAGTTCTACCAGGAAACAGCAAGGGCAGGAGGTCTGGCCCTACCACCCGTGTGCACCCTTGGTTAATACTCTCTAGAGCAGAACCCAGAAAATGGGAGTCTGTAACATAAACATTAATCCACATGTATAACTCCGTCAATTAAAAGACCAATAAACAGGCAGCTTAATAGGACATTATGCCATAGATGACTCTAATCAGCTCAACATATTGATTTCTGAGCATTCTCAATTTGTTTATCAGAACCAAGTGTATTCTTTTTTAATTACTTTGCCAACTTATCCCTATGTTGCATGGCTTTTGCGATATATAGTCTTACACGGTAGGAAATGCCCTACCACACTTAATATTGGGCTGGTTTAATAAGATCGGAATAACATTGACCAACTTCATGTTGTCAGATATAAAGTTGGGGTTGCAAAGAGATGGATAGATAGACACAAAATCTTTGAAAGGGGGATTTTGCCTGGATTCAATCAAAATACAAATCAAAAAATTGTAAAATAGAATCTACCAGCTAAAACTAATGAGCACAAAACTGCATTGATTTGGCCCAGGGTGGACAAATAGAACATCTGGCATATTTGGCACCAATGACACAGCTGGCATTGTTGGAAACGTTTCTGCAGAAGGTGCAGATGCAGAAATGGGAGAATTGGTACAAACAGTGCAGATGGAACAGTTGGAACAGATGACAGTGGGCAGAGCTGGCGATGCTGGCACAGGTGTCACAACCTCAACAGCTGGCACAAGTTGTGACAATCCTGGGATTTCTTAGTACAAGGCACATGTTCATTTTGGCTTTGGCTGCAGAGAGATAAGAGCATTTTATAATTAGTAAATGTGCCATTTAAAAAAGAACTTTTTTCCCCTCCATCCTTAAGGACATCCACCTCCAACTGTTAAAGCTTGGAATATGGAGCATTTTTGCAAATTAGAATTTCCCCGAGAAAGCCATAATTGATAAATACAGATTTCATAGAAGAGGCAATTAGATATTTTTGTTATGATATAGATAAAATTCATGAATGGGACTTCTTCATAGGAGTTTTGTGAAAAATAAAGGTCAGATTTTTGGAAATGAAAGTACACTTTGCATTTAAACCAAAATTTATTTGTTATCAACTTAGAGGGTTATTTGTTTCTGAAATATCATGAGTATTCCCCAATTATATAAAACTTTCTGTAGAATCACACTTGAAGATGTGGTACAAAATTGGAAACCTGTCTACAGAACAGGTTGGGAAAAGAGAAAAAATGCTGGAATACAAAATATGGAGAAATCATGATATTGCCACTTTCAAATACCAATGGGACTTGGCTCTAATTTCCTCTAAAATGCTGTAAGTTGGGCTTGAATAAAAATACAATATAGTATAATCTTTTGGGCAATGACATTTAATATCAGATGTAAAGTTGAAAGAACAAAGCAACTTTTTTGTTAGTGGCTAGAAATTATTATTCTAATATTTTTATTGTCACTAAAGTCTAGTCATGTCACAGGAAGGCTAAAAGCGATTACCTTGTTAAAAATAATAAAAACTAAACAAGGGGGATTAAATATTGGGTTCTTAAATCTAGAAGCACATGCTCTTGAACATGGTAGGTACCCCACAAATTCTTGTTGAAAAAATGAACCTATGGTCTATGAAATATCAATATTCAGAATTTTAAAAAAATCACCCTCACTAATAATAACTAAACTTCTCTTAGGAAGAAACAAAACAAATCAGGCCTCAGTCTTCCTTAAAGTCTTAAATTTTATACATATATTTTAGCTAGCTTCTTTCCCCCAAGGGAAATTATAAATGAGAAAAACTGGTTGGATGTCACCTACTCTATGTCCCCAAGGAAATTCATAATTATTTAGATTTTCCAGTTAATATTGAACTAAATCAGCACCATAAATCAGCTTCTATTCATGATCATTGCAGCACAGTGAATGTTTTAGATGTATTTGGAGACTTTTGGGGAACCACTACATTAAGGGTTAATTAATTCTCCCTGGTGTCCAGTTCTTGACCATTAGCAACATGCTGTCTTTATTTCCAGTTGGCCCTGCATATATTACCTTATTTAATTAAAAAACCCAATAAGTTAAAGGCATTTAAACATATCTGATTGTAGTTTCTCCATTACTTCTACTTTGTTATAACCTCATGTTGAACCCAACAAAACTATTCTTGTTATTCAGAACTTCAGTTCTATCACTTAACTTTACTTCATTTCTTGACTGAGCTGACAGAAATGTTTCTGCTTAAAACAGATACATTAATTTGTTAATTGTACTTTTGTGACATAGATCAACTAGGAGATGGAGGAGGTGGTGAGAGGGCTTCCTGTTCCCTCAGGGCACAAAGATGATGAGAGATAAATCAGTTCAGAGGAAGAGGCTGGACATGTCCACCCTGTACATCTTCCTTGGTCTGAAACACTACTCTGTGGCTGAATCTCAAATGAACGTTTCTCCTCATCAATAAGTACTTTATGGAAGATGACCAATCCAAGGCAGCAAATAAGGATATTTCTAGGCCTTGATGTTTGAGGGGTCAGCAAAAGTTTTTCTGAAGATTGAGGATGAGGGTGGGTCATTCCCTTGAGCGCCTGCTGTCTTCAGGAATTAAATGAAAATTAAGCATGAAACATGCAATCTGTTGGAGCAATTTGATTCCCCTATACTTGTCCCAGCCACTGTCTATTTCTAAGCACATTGAACTTCCCAATGTATTGGTGTCTCATCTTGTGTAAATATCCTTTTCCTTCTCTTAGCTCCAAGACATCAGGATGTGCTTTTCTTCCACCCTTCGAATGGTTGCTCTGCATTACACCTCTCTGCTATCCCTGGAGGGCTTTTGAGTACTATGTGAGCTGGGATTTATGGCAACGGGATGTGAACGGGGGCACCTTCATATGGGGCAGCTTGTCTTTTCTGCCCATGGTAAACTGGAATACATTTTTTTTCCTAGGCTTAAAAAATAACTGTGTTGGAGAGGTGGTAAAGTAAAGCCTATTTACCTAAAATAAAACCATCTACAAAAGCAAAACAAAATTAAAGGGAAATTTATATATTAATTTTAAGACCTCATCTTCTTCCGCTTTCTCTGCATTCTCCTGATGCACCAGCTACAGACCCCTAGCAAGACCCCCGCCCCAGCTCTTTTTTGAATGAAAAGCATCAATTCATGGATCAGACATAGCCCCTAGGCATGTTAGCAATGAGCCTGTTTGTGCTAAGGCACTGTTTTCCCTCCCTTGCCCCACCAGGAGGGCTGTGGGATGGTTATGAAGACACAATGATGTAGCTGTAAAGCAACTCATTCTTGTGAGTCTGCTGGAAGTGGGAAAAGAGGAAAAGAGAGATAGGTAAGAATTCGGTGTTTTTTGTTTTGTTTTTAATGAAAACCAGAGTAGTCCTGTATGGAGATTATTGGGCTATTGTTTCACTACAGTTTAAAATTGAACTTACTGAAGATTCATGATTTAGAACTTGCAGGCAAATCAAGATTTAAGCTGCCATCTATTCCCCTAAACTACTGTGCTGATATCTATCACCGTGTTATGTAAATAAACAATTAAATGGAGTGTAGATTCATTTACTCATTTAAAAATGTTTCAGTGTGAAAAAATGTAAAACATACTAAAGAAGTAGATAGTAGACAGACTCAGGTACCCATCACGTAGGTTTAACCATTACTAACATTTTGCTAACTTTGTCTCATCTTTCTCCCTGCCATCCACACACATATTTTCTCCCCACTTTCCTGGAGTGTTTTAAAGTAAATTTGAAATGTCATTTTACCCTGAAATACTTCAATGTTCATTTTTAATAGGCAAGGGCAATTAAAAACACACAACAACCCAGAATAATATTTCTTCAACATCATCTAATTCCTAGTCTAGCCTCAGAGTCCTCTGTTTGTCTCAGTGGTACATTTGTACAGTTTGTTTGTTCAAATCAGGACCCAAACGAGGTTCTGATAATGGCTCTATGGTTTATTTTCTCTCTTTTTTTCATTGTTACTGATTAGTTAGATAAACCAGGTCATTTGTCCATAGAGTGCCTTGCATTCTGAGTTTGGCCCGTTGTTGGCTTGTAAAGACATTTAACCTGGTCTTTCATCTCCTGTATTTCCTGTGAATTGGTATTTAGATCTCTAGGCTTGTTGGGATTCAAGTTCAATTTTTTAGGCAAGAATACTTCATAGCTGGTGCTGTGTATTTCCTATTGCAACACATTACGGGGCAAATAATACCTAGTCATCCCATGTTTAGTGGTGCTAAGATTGCTCAATGCGTTCAGCTGGTATATATTTTTGATGCTTAAGACTGTATTCATCTGTTTTCAAGCTTCTTTTCACATATGGATATTGCTAATTTTATCTCAATCTCTTTGTATAATCACCAGGGAGTCCTTCAATTGTTAACAAATATTCTTTGATATTCATTTTATTAGCAAACTTCCGATGGGCAATACCAACTTTCCATACACACACACATATATCTGGAATTTTTTCATAGCACATTTTACATGTATTTTTCTTGCCTATATGTCATTGGAGGTTAAAACTAAATTATAACACACTTTGTGCATCTATATGCATGGCCATTTGCAGGTTAACCAATGAATACTAGGTTAGATCAATACATGATCAGTTAACAATTGCAGTAATCAGAGTAAATATTTGTAGTCTGGGTAATTTTAGTCATATTTGCAACCAAAGTTCATCAACTGTTCATTGATATGTAACCAGTCTAAAAATGGTTGATCCAGTTGTTGCAGGAATCCTAGTGGCTAAATGAACTTAACTATACTGCTGTATCATTCATTGCTTGGCAGTTCAACTATGACTATCAAATGTTTGGTAATTTCAATATAGTCAGTATTGCATGACTTGCTTTTTACTTCACATCATTGGTAATAAGTATGTGGTCATAAATAGACTACATGGGCCAGGCGCGGTGGCTCACGCCTGTAATCCTAGCACTTTGGGAGGCCGAGGTGGGTGAATTACCTGAGGTCAGGAGTTCGAGACCAGCCTGGCCAACATGGTGAAACCTCATCTCTACTAGAAATACAAAAATTAGTGAGTCATGGTGGTGGGCACCTGTAATCCCAGCTACTCAGGAGGCTGAGGCACAAGAATCACTTGAATCTGGGAGGTGGAGGTTGCAGTGAGCCAAGATTGTGCCACTGCTCTCCAGCCTGGGCGACAGAGTGAGAATCCATCTCAAAAAAAAAAAAAAAAAGAAAGAAAAAGAAAAAAGAAAAGAAAAGAAGTAGAATACATGGGAATATAGCAAACTACTTAGAAGCAGTTAAATGATAGGATAATTCCAAAATATAAACATTCATAATTGAAATCCTATGAAAAATGCATACTAAGTTTGATTGTTCCAAATAGATTGTTACTGAATAAATAGAATCAGAATTATATGCAATGAAGTATTAAATAGACATTTTGAATATTTTAAATATTTTTAATTCTTATTTGTTCCCTTGTCTGAAAATGGAAGTGTTAATATCATTGGTTTAGGATTAATAAATACAGAATTGAATGTTTTTCCAGTGGTGAGTAATAGTAACCATAAACACTCTCAGTAACAATAAAACATTTCAAGTTGTTGTGAAATCTTCTTCTTTTTTTTTTTTTTTAAAGAGGCAGCATGTCACCCATGCTGAATGTGGTGGCACGATCATAGCTCACTGCAACCTCAAACTCCTGGGCTCACGTTATCCTCCTACCTCAGCCTTCCAAGTAGCTGGGATTAGGGGCCACCATGCCTAGCTTTTTTTTTTTTTTTAATTTTCTGGAGAGACAGGATCTCACTATGTTGCCCAGGCTGGTCTTGAACTCCTGGGCTCAAGTCATCCTCCTGCCTGGGCCTCCTAAATTGCTGGCATTATAGGCATGAACCATCAAGCCTGGCCATTTTTTGAGAAATCTTTTTTTTTTTTTTTTTTGAGACAAAGTCTTGCTCTGTTGCCCAGGCTGGAGTGCAATGGCGTCATCTCGGCTCAGTGCAACCTCTGCCTCCTAGGCTCAAGCAATTCTCCTGCCTCAGCCTCCTGAGTAGCTGGTATTACAAGCACACACCACCACACCCAGCTAACTTCTGTATTTTTTGTAGAGACAGGGTTTTGCCATGTTGGCCAGGCTGGTCTCGAATTCCTGAGCTCAGGAGATCAGCCCTCCTGAACCTCTTAAAGTGCTGGGATTACAGGCTTGAGCCACCGTGCTCGGCCTTTTTGTGAAATCTTGATTAGGAAAAATGTCTTATTTCTGTATGAAGTTTGAGGTTTCACTTCCATCAATTCAATTGATCATTATTATAATCCAGTGGGAGAGGATATTTGAGTAGATTTAACAGATGAGAAAGCTGAGATAGGAAGAGAGCAGATATCTTATGTCCAAGAAAGGATAAAGCCAGTAAGCACAGTCAATGCTCAATCTAATTTGGACTTACCTCATTTTGTTCTTGAGAAAATGTTTAGTTTCGTTTCACCTACAGATGTTCTGAAGCCTGGGTCTGTCCAAGGCGTTGTGGAAACTTCCAGTTTGAGCACACTCACTTGCTTCAGGGTTCCAGGAAAGTTTGGTGTCAAAAGTTTTCTACAATCTGTTTTCAGCTTACCTGATAGAGAACATTTGGTTGTCTTCATAATTCTTGTCTCTCTCGGGCATCTCTTGTCTATAACCCTTTTCTTCCTTTTTTATACTCACAGGAAAGCTGGATTTTTATGTAGTTTCCTACTTCATTTTCCTTATTTTATAAGAAGGGAAGAAAGTTGGAGAGAGGTAAGGTACAAGACTTTTTTAAAATATTCAATAGATCCTGTAATGTGATTTTCTCCCCCCAAAATATGAAAAAGTTTTCCCTGGCAACCAATCCTTTTAGTTCGTTTCTCTCTCCTTCCTGATGTTTGTACAATCTATGTTGGGAAGGATTTCTTTATTAAGCTCCATAAGTTTCCAACATGACTTCTGCCAGAGACCTGATTTTAAAAAACATATTGCCTTTTTTGTTCTTCTGCTTCCATATTAAAAATACATTTAATTAGAAAGCATTATAATTAAATACATATTTAAATGGAGATACATATTATGTTTCTTATGATGTTTTTCTAATCTTTTGATAAGACTGTAACCATTAAAATTGGGAAATAATATTTTCTTATTGGTTAGTGTCCCACTTTTAGATCTTTTCACTGGATATGGAGAAAGTATGTGTTGCTTTTGAGACAATTGCTAAAGTGAATAGCAAAAGATCAAGAACTTGAAAGTACTGAGCCCAAAGAAGAAACAGTAAAAGGACATCTCTTCAAAGCCCTATGATTTGTAATAATTCTGAAACAGATCTTGCCAGTCATCTTATTTACTTTAAAAAACAAAGTGGATTATACTTAAATTATAACAAAAAATCAGAGAGATATAACACGACACCTTAAGAATAATTGTTTATTGTTTTGTTGTTCTTGTTGTTGTTTTGAGACAGAGTTTCACTCTTGTCACCCAGGCTGGAGTGCAATGGCATGAACTTGGCTCATTGCAACCTCTGCCTCCCGGGTTCAAGTGATTCTCCTGCCTGAGACTCCTGAGTAGCTGGGATTACAGGCGCGCACCACCACACCTGGCTGATTTTTGTATTTCTAGTAGAGACGGGGTTTCACCATGTTGGCCAGGCTGGTCTCGAACTCCTGGCTTCAGGTGATCCGCCCGCCTTGGCCTCCCAAAATGCTGGGATAACAAGGTGTGAGCCACTGTCCCTGGCCTAAGAGTAATTGTTTAAATAGCAGAGCATGATTTTAAGAAACTCTTGGAATCTTTAAGAACAACAAAAAACAATCATTGGTCTTTGATTACTGGGAATCTGGGAGATGGGCTGGAGGTTTACTAGAAAAGCAGGTCTGCATTTTCCCCTCCCTGAATCTAGGAGTTTCTTTGCTTCTCAGAGTCCCCTGTTTGGGTCCACTCCCTCAGTAGGGTTGAAATCTTTTTAGCATCTGACTCTGAATTTGGGTCATTTCTTCTTTCCTCTTCCTTCTCTCAACCTCCATCTTCACAATGACAGACTGCATTCCGTAATTGCTGTCTTTTGTAATTGTTCTATCTCCAAATTGGCTGATTAGGGTAGAGACACAGCTGTCCATCAAAATGGTGTAAAGTGGCTGAAACAGTCATCCCCTGGGCCGGAGAAAGTTAATTGCACTTTCTGAGGCTATCCCAGTAGGAGAGGAGCTGAGAAGGGCCCCGGGAATCCCTGTTAGTGCTATTTTTTTCCTGAGCATGTCCATTTCTAACGTGAAAAAAAAATGTAGTAAACAGCATGTTAATTAGATTTGCAGATGAAATTAAATCAGGAAGTATTGGAAACACACCAGTGAATAAAGAGAAATGCTACACAGGGTTTCTGAGGTTAAAAATATAGAAAGGATCAAACGAAATGAGAATTAAGTCAGACAGGTGTAACCTCAATGATTTAGAGAGGGGAAAAGCTGTAAAGGTAACCAGCGAGAGGGAAAAATCCAGAACACAGTAATGCCAGAGGGACCAGGGACTGGACAACAAATTAGACGAGTTTGCAATATGCCACAGAAGCTAATGTGATTTGGGGCTGTATGTGTAGAGACATCACGTCATGAGGGAAAGGTGGAGTAATTTAGTGCATTTGGCAAAGACACACCTGGAATATTGTGTTCAGATCTGCGTATCCTGAAAGCAGACAGACGTAGAAGAACTAGAGGGAAATCAGCATAAAGCAACAAAAGTGATTAACACGATGGGCTGATTTATGAGAAAAATGGACAGTGTGATTGGGCCTAAAAGTAACAGGAATGGAGCATTGAAATGGAAGAGGGTTTTCCTGATCTTTTTTCTAGGAGACTCAAGAATTATTGAAGTGTAATTAGCGTGAAAGTATATACTGTAGTTTACAAGGGAGAACTAAAATTTGCAAGGAGGGAAACTGGCTATGAGATTATTAAAGTGTCTTTTTAGGGGAGTGAAAGAAGGGCCATGGCTAAAAAACAAATGAGTTTACATTGTTCTCATACTTTTCATTCCAAAGCCGTTAGATTTACCCTGACCACGACCCTTCAACACTGAAGAATTAAGTGGAACTGCTCATCTGTCAGGACCCCAGAAAGCTTCCTGGATGCTTGTTCCTCTGCAAAGTTCCTCTCAGAAGGAGCCATTTTAAAATTTGGTTTTAGTAACGCTCCCCAGACAAATGCTGGTGTCAGATGGCTTCGCTTTTCCTCCTTTTTAGTACTTGGATGTCTGCAAAGGCAGTGACCAAAAGCAACAACTGATCTGCCAATATTAGCTCTATGTGTGGCTGAAGGCTGTCATTTAATCTGAGGATTGGCTTCTGATGGCAAAGGGAAGATAAATCTAATTTTTAAGGATCTCAAAATGATAGCTGGAGGAGCAGCATTTTGCACTAGCTAATGAGGCTAATTTGTTCTTAAAATACAAGTTGCTGTGCCTCTTAAATTAAAATTCACTTCTGATGTAAATACAGAAGATATAAATACAGAGAAGAGATATATGCTGTAATTTTTATTTTGCAATTTGGAGCCTGTTCTAAGAGGAGCTGTTAGGAAAGTGATTTTTTTTTCTCTAAATTTGAGGAGATCTTCACTTCCAGGCTTCAAATACGCAGAAGGACAATGATTAGCATTAATTTTATAAGAAAGAAAACAAAGTAAGATGTTTTCTTCCTGGCTAGAGATTACAAAATGCATTGTGCTAGAGATTATTTCCTAAATCATTGTGATTCTCCACTTTCTCATCTGGAAAATGAATTGTGGGGGAGTGAATTGCTTTCAAAGTAATTAAGTAGTCCATTGACAAATGCTTTATTAACATTTAGATATTTAATTAAATCTGCCGGGGAGAAAGTTCGTATTCCTAAGTCAAGGGGTTTCTCTTTTTCCTCTCTTCACTGTGGTGGGGACAGTGAAGATTCTTGTGTGGTCTTCCTTTTCATTTTGAATGTTACACAGAGCAGAGCAGGATCTTAAGATAAATTAAAGCAAATAATGAAAGATCTTGAAAACTAAATGGCATTCATCTTCTAAGTACTATTTGATCAGCTATTTAAAATAAGAGTTTGCACCACAATCTAGAAGAAATAGATACTCTCTTAATGGGGCAATGACATTTAATGCCTACATTAACAAATTATACAGAATGAAGCATTTAATATCTAGTTTATCTAAGGGATTTATGCCACCCTCTTACTCTAGGTTTTGCTTCTTAACACTGGACTCTGATTTTTTAGCGCATAACAGAGAAATTAGCTACCCCAGTCTTATCTCAATTTAAGTTCAGGTCATGGAACAAGGAACAAACTACGTTATTTATCTAAAAGAATTAATGAATTGTGTCTGGAATTTTGAATGGGTCTGTAACAGATAAACTTTTCTCTTTCCGATACCCAGAATTCACATTAAAGCAATTAAAACTGTTACTCAAAGGAACTGAATTTGCTGTTCACTGACCAATCTTTGTCATCTTTAACACACCAGATGAGAGCCACCACAGCTTTAAAAATAGGAGCACAGGGACTAAAGATGTATTTTTTCCCCTTTCCATCTAGATTGGCAAAGTTTCTTTAAAACTTGCTTCCTTCCTCTGCTTTTTCTTCTTTAATTTAGCATTGTTGAAAAATTCTGGTGTAGGCAATTATTGTTAAAGTTGGAGGAAGTGTCTGCCATATGAAAGGAAGGAAGGATCTTCGTGGGGAGCCCAGCCTGCGGTGTGAGTTGCTAATATGTTAGACATGTTTTCATCATCAAATGCAACCTCCTTACCATGGTCCCCAAGGCCCTGTGTGATGTGACAGCTGTCCACATCTCCAATCCTGTGCTGTACCCCTGCCCTCCTTCTCTGGCTTGAATATTATAGTCTTCTCTGCCTTAGGAACTTTGTACTTGCTGTTGATTCTACCTGGAATGTGTCCCCCCAATTTTTTTTTTTTTTTTGAGACAGAGTCTCACTCTGTTGCCCAGGCTAGAGTGCAGTGGTGCGATTTCAGCTCACTGCAGCCTCCGCATCCTGGGTTCAAATGATTCTCCTGCCTCAGCCTCCCGAGTAGCTGGGATTACAGGCATGCACCACGACAACTGGCTCATTTTTGTATTTTTAGTAGAGATCAAGTTTCACCATGTTAGTCGGGCTGGTCTCGAACTCCTGACCTCAGGTGATCCACCCACCTGCCTCCCAAAGTGCTGGGATTGCAGGCACGAGGCACCGCGCCCGGCCCTCCCCTGACTTTTAAGTGCTGGCTCTCTCTTCCCTTTAGGCCTCAACTTAAATGTCACTGCTTCAAAAAGGACTTTCCCACGTGCTTACTCTCGCCCTGGTGCTGCCACCTTTTTCTCTGTCAGATCCCCCTGTTCAGCCTCCTCCAGCTTTCTGCTCTGCCTCCTGCTCGTCCTTTGTTCCCCCACAGCACTCAACACAAATGATCCTGCTTGTTTGGTCCTCTTCTGTGTATTGGCCATTTCTTCCCTTAGAATGCACGTTCCACCAGAGCAGAGGACTTGTCTGCTTTGTTCTTTGCATTTTTTGCCGTGCTGAAAACAACGCGTGGCCCCCCAAATGTGGGCCAGTCATCCTTAAATGTTGAACATGATTTTAAGAAAACATCTCATTGCACATTTCCAAACATGTCAACTTGTAAAAATGGAGGAGAAAAGAGACAGGACAAATCATTGTCTTGGAATACATTCAGGCATGTTTCTTAACTACAGCCACATTAAGCTACAAGGATAGAATAAACATTGCCCACTTCAGCAAACTTGTCTGAATATATACATGGATGCCAGACTATTACCAGCAGAAAGACAGCCAGTCAACAGGTAGGGTTCTTGTCAACGCAAAGGAAGTTGAAAGACTAACAAAAGGATACAGGCTGGAAGGTCCTTGAGACCAAGAACTTTCAGTGATTCTTTTGGAGGCTCTAAGACAATCGTAGGACACAGAACACATCCACGGCCTAGGATATGGGGGTAAGATGGAATGGAGCATTGTCAAGAGAGATGCCAGGGAAAGGCCAATGAGAAGGATGTGACGTAGGTTCTATTCTCAGTCAGAGGCATTATCAGCACAAGGCCTTGAAAACTGCCTTCTTGCCTTTCCCACATAACAGAAGCCTGAAAGGAGGGATAAATCCATGGATACAAAGGAGAGAACCTGGGCCTGTTTTTTTTGTTTTCTTTCTTTCTTTTCTTTCTTTGTTGTTTCTTTCTTTCTTTTTCCTTTTTTTTTTTAGACGGAGTCTCCCTCTGTCGCCCAGGCTGGAGTGCAGTGGCGCGATCTCGGCTCACTGTAAGCTCTGCCTCCCAGGTTCACGCCATTCTCCTGCCTCAGCCTCCCGAGTAGCTGGGACTACAGGCGCCTGCCACCATGCCCAGCTAATTTTTTGTATTTTTAGTAGAGATGGGGTTTCACCACGTTAGCCAGGATGGTCTTGATCTCCTGACCTGTTGATCCACCCACCTCAGCCTCCCAAAGTGCTGGGATTACAGGCTCGCTCGCTCTTTCTTCTTTCTTTCTTTCTTTCTTTCTTTCTTTCTTTCTTTCTTTCTTTCTTTCTTTCTTTCTTTCTTTCTTTCTCTTTCTTTCTTTTTTCTTTCTTTCTTTCTTTCTTTCTTTCTTTCTTTCTTTCTTTCTTTCCTTTCTTTCTTTTCTTTCTTTCTTTCTTTGTCTTTCTTTCTTCCTTTCTTTCTTTCTTTTCTTTCTTTCTTTCTGTCTGTCTGTCTTCCTTTCTTTCTTTTAGACAGAGTCTCACTCTTATTGCCCAAGCTGGAGTGCAGAGGCACAATCTCGGCTCACTGCAACCGCTGCCTCCTGAGTTCAAGCAATTCTCCTGCCTCAGCCGCCCGAGTAGCTGGGATTACAGGCACCCGCTACCACACCTGGCTAATTTTTTGTATTTTTAGTAGGGATGAGGTTTCACCATGTTGGTCAGGTTGGTCTTGAACTCCTGACCTCAGGTGATCCACCCGCCTTGGTCTCCCAAAGTGCTGGGATTACAGGCGTGAGCCACGATGCCCAGCCCCTAGGCCTGTATCAATGGCATATTGAACAGAAAACAAAAACTGAATCTCCCAAGCCCAGTAAGTCTAAGTGCTCGTAAGGAGTCCTGTCAACCATGTCATGGATCTAGAAGAAGCGGAGAAATCTCTCAAGGGTCACTGGCTCAAGGGCAAGGGGAAAATGTGCCTATAAGGCAGCAATGGCTAACAGGTCCTTTCCAAGGGTCAGCTAGCATCTTAGCGCTGCACGTAGCTTAACTCGAGCAATCCCACCACGACCTTGTGAAATATGTACTGTTATGATTCCCACCCTCACAGATGAGGAAACTGAGACACAGAAAGGGGGAGCAACTGGGCCAAGGTTCATCAGGTAGTAAGTGGCAGAGCTCACATTTGGACCTGGACAGGCTGCTTCTAGAGCCTGTCGAGACAGAACTTTCATGTTCTTGACTCTGAAAGCTTAGTTTTAAAAGGAATGCTGTTTTAATTTTTTTGTAGCCCTCTTGGGTATATCCTGTTATCTCTGGAAGCAGGAAAACCAGAGTCTAATATTAGGGAATAATTTAAGGCTAATCATGCCTTAAAATGCCTGAGAACATGATAGAAAGAGTATGTAGGGACCCAGCTATACCTCAGCTGCCTCCCCGGGGGTTTGGTGGAAAGGAGGCTTGCTTCTTTCTGTGAACACTGCAGCATTATGTGTAGGGCAGCGTGGAATGCATTTGTGACATCCTGAACAGGTCCACTGGGCTTTTTATTTTGCTGTACTGCAAGTGATGCTTCATTTCAGCCCCTGTCTCACAGGTCCTGCATTCACCAGGAGAGGCAGCAGAGCAGGGAAGAAAGGGTGGAGATGTGGAAGGAGGCAGTCCTGGATTGAAATCCTGGCTCGGCCACTGATTAGCTGCATGAACATTGGCAAATTGTTTCACCTCTCCATACCTCCATTTTCTAATCTACCAGATAATGTTAGCAAGATTCACCTTCTAGAGCTAGCGTGGGCATGATGAATGAAATAAGACTGGTGGAAATGTGTAGCCCATGGAAGGCATTCAACAAATGCCAGCTCTCTCTCCCCCCTACCAGGCCAAATCCTCACTTGTGTTTGCGATTATGTTTAAGATCAAGTTTAGGAACTTGCATGGTGTCTGACTGTTTTTCAGCAGAGGCTAAGGAACATGCCAGATTAGTTTACTAATTTGCAGTTGCATGATAGAAATGGAGGGCATGGAGCACAATTTGAATTCTAAGTCCCTGCCATGCACACCAGTTTCATTACTGAAGGTACAGACCCAGGTTTAGTGATATAGACATGCAATGAGGGGTGATGGGGAACAATGCTTACCCTGATGGCAACAAGAGAGTTAAGGCAATTAAACTAGATTTTACCCCTCCAGAGTCCAACACTTGTTTCTCCAAGTACAGTGAGTTTCAGAGATAGCACATAATGTACCAATAATGAAAATAACTCTGTGAACAGCACGGAAGTAAGTTGGGGCTACTTCCACCCACACAGAGATGAATTTTGTGTGCAGAAGCCCAGTGGAATACAAATGAACTGCTGTATATGAGAAATAAGGAACAAAAAGCTGAGACTCTGGGATATACCTCAAGAAGAAACCTGCAGACTTTTTCTTACCATCCTCTCCCCAGAGTAAAAGCATGGAAATAAGGATTTCCTCCTTGCAGGGGTATGGCTGGTTATCATAAATGCCATGCACAGCAAGTGAAAACTTGTGTGTGGAGATTCCTAATATCGAGAGCCTCTGATTCTCATCGCAAACTCTCTAGATGCTCTTCTGAGTGCCCTTATTCAGGGCACAAGTCACTGGCAGCAGGTGTCTGTTCATTTTGATAAATGTCAGCTTCTTAACACTCGCTTTGGAGAGGGAAGGAGGACAGACACTGACCCTGCCCTGGCGGAACTGAGGGCATGCTGGAAGGCAAGCAGCTTCTACGCATCAGAGCCACGTGGGCTAGAGTTGGCCCCAGCCTCCTCACCCCTTGTCAGTGTAGGGACAACTCAGCACTGGCAGACATGCTCCAGATGTCCTGCCATCATCTGGCTGATGTAGACTCTGGGGAGCCCCCAGCCTCCTGTGATATACAGAGACAGGAAGCCTCAGGCTTCCAAGTGGTACCCTAGGGGTTTCTGAAGTGCACTAATGCACTAATTGAGTATCACTGTTTTGCCGTCTTTCCTGCGGCTCCCATCCCTGCCCACTCCTCTTCTCCTAGTTGTTTGCTGTCTGAAGGCTCACTTAATCAAATATCCCACTCAGTCAATTGAATGAATGTTGAACCACACAACGTGCCAAGGCGCTGTCCAAGGTATCAGAGTTCATTACTGCAAATTGCTGTTTACTACCAGAGGGTATGCTCTGTTTTTGCTTCTGTGAAATCTCCTCCTTACAAATGTGAAGCATAATGAAGAATAAAGAATAAAGTGGGGCCAGGTGCAGTGGCTCATGCTTGTACTTCCAGCACTTTTGGAAGCCGAGGCTGGTGGATGGCTTGAGCCCAGGAGTTCCAGACCAGCCTGGGCAACATAGCAAGATCCCATTGCTACAAAAGAAAAAAACACTAAAAAATTAGCTGGGTGTGGTAGGATGCGCCTGTAATCTCAGCTACAGAGGAGGCTGAGGCAGGAGGATAGCTTGAACCCAGGAACTTTAGGCTGCAGTGAGCCACGATCATGCCACTGTACTCTGGCCTGGGTGACAGGGCAAAACTCTACCTCAAAAAAGAAAAAAAAAAAGTGGTTAATTGGTATTAATTGAGAATTTTGAGATAAAATGCAGTAAGATGAGATTTTATGATTTTCCATGAAGCTGCCTTCCCCCTATCTATTGAAACCTTTAAGAGAAGCATCAAATTGAGGTGTGTTTTATGAAAATTCTCTTTAATCAATAATTATGAATGTATGCTCTGCTGTGCTACAGTACTGTTAGAAGTCTTGAGAGAGACTTAAAAGGTTGAGATATGGTTTAAGCTTTCAGGAAGTTTCTCTCAATGAGTTAGAAAGATTTAATGTATACATGTGAAACAATCCAGGCAATATTCAGTTAAGTGGTACATTTTTTAAGGGAAAAAATTATATAAGTGCTTTATTTTTAAACTCTTTAGACTTAAACATGGCCTTGGTTAAAATAAAACCATACTTTTTTTCTAATTTTTTTTGGTTGGAGTAAATATGCATATAAAATTTACCATAAACTTTACCATTTTTAAGAGTGCATTTCTGTGATGTAAGTGGTAAATTTTGTTGTGCAGATTAGCACAGATGGAGAAATTGGAAAAGGTGGAAGATCAGAGAAGTCTAATGCTCTCCTAGGAGCTATGACTTGAGCTTTTATTCAGAGAGGGCGGTTAGGAATAAATGGATAGCGGGGCAAATGGAGGTATGTTTACGACACACCAAGATTTACCTGAATGTCCACATCTAGGATTGAAATATATGTAAAATATTTGCTTATATCTTTTGTGGCTGCTTGAATGGGAAATAATAAGCTATGAAACAAGAATTCTGATAGATGTGGAAATTTAGAAAAAAAATGTCTTATTTTAAACAAATTAAGAACTTGAGGGTCATTTTGCAATCTGGTTACAGCTTTTGTTTTAATATATGGTATTAAAAAAAATCCCCAGTGGCTGTCTCAAGGAATAGCTCATTAAATATTGCTGTTCAACAAAACTGGTTTCAATCTTTTTATTTTTCTATATAATAAATGGTCCACTTCTATAAAGGTGACAGTTGCTGTATCATCTATTTGCAATGGGAATGGCTACTGGAAACTTTAGATTTTTTTCACAATGAAGTTATCTTTCTAGCAGCAATGATGGCCTGCTGAAGGCTATGCTATGACACATCAAAAGGTTTACAGATTTCATCCTCAGGGAAATGCAAAGCAAAACAAAACAGAACGAAAATAAGAATGAATTCCACGGTCACACTGGGAAATTCTGATCAGAGTTTATTATGAAGAGAACTAGGGTGAAGCACAAAGAACAGGGAATCGGAAGACCTGGACTGTGGTCCAGATTCCGGCGCTAAATCACCTTGGCAAAGTAACTCAAGCGGGCCTCAGTCTCCTTGTGTAAACCAGCCACGTGGGCAACACACCTTCCTTGCCACTACATGTTGGGCGAACTTACATAAAACGGAGATAATGCCTGCCTTTCCTAATTTGGAAAGCGTCCAAATTAGGAGTGTCAAATGGGGAGTGTCAAAATGGATCATGGTGTAATAACAAGATGGAAAATGTCATTATTAATACAGAAGCCATCCCAGAATAAATGACATACGGAAACCAACAAACAGCATGTTAGGAGTTTTCTGCAGGCACATTTGGACCACAGAGGTAAAGACAGGACTCCTACTAATTCTGGGCATAATTTAAAAACTGCCACCCATGTGACTTTGGGCTTTTTTTTTTATTTTCTAGATAAGCTTGTTTACATATATGTTCAACCATGACTCCCTCATTATCTTTCTCCATGCAAGGGCCCTCAGGTGGCATTTGCATTGAGTGGAGTGATTTTTGTTTTCTAAGAGGGAAATTTTACAAACTGTGCTTCACTTTTCTTTCAGCTTGAGCTGTTTTCTCCTGGGAAAACAGCTTTTTGCTTGGCAAAAATGGATGTGAGGCATTGGCGAAAACGAAAGGCCGTTTTCATTGCAAAGAAAACTGCCTTTTGCTTTTGCCAAAAAAAGCAAAACATATGAGACAAAACCACAAATATTTCCCTGTTTGCAAACCCTGTGAAAACGTGATTTTTCACCAGTGGTGAGAATATTTTCTCACATTACTCTTTCCATTTCTAGAAATTATGGTTTCAATGGTGAAAGTCGTAAGTTACACCTGCAACACCTCATGACTAGAATCAAATATCATGAATATTGTTGTTAAACATGTTGAACTTATTTTCCATCAAAGGTAACATTGAAGGAGATGGAGCCTTTGCTTTAAGATTAGGGTCTCGACAAAGTAGAATGAGAAAAGTGTTGAACCACCGGGGACCACTGACACTGAGCAACGAGGCTCAGAAAGGTGTTTGGGGTTCAACTGGGATTTAGTATAGAGGGTGTAGCTGAAGGAATAGACTAAGTCCAGCAGTGAAAGAGCATAAAAGGGTGGTAATAACACAGTACAGCAGAGAGAACATTGAAATAAATTTTTATACGAGGTGTGGTCTCCCACCCCAAGTGCATAGTCAACTGGCTGTGCAACCTTTGCCAAATCAGCTCCACCTCCTGGGGTCTCAGGTGCCACCTGTGAAAGTGCTAGGATTCAATGAAATGACCATTCGGATTCCTTTCCAATCTAAAGATGTCCAATAAGGAGATGGGAAGTGCATTTGCAAAATATAGAAATTGTGAATATCAAGGGATCTCCACTAATCGACTCCCTTGATTCTGAAATAGCCCGTTAAAGTCAGAAGCTACTTTGGTGTCTAATGATTTATATGAAGGTATTCACATAACAAATTTAATTTCGTTGTGTTTGTGACTGCTCTTAATACCAATATGCTCTTCCTCATGCCTATGCTAAGCCCTTCTTACTAGAATTAAGCTAATTTCTTCTAATCTTCCCCAGGGAAGTAGTGAGCGTCCATTCACCATTTTTATATTATTAAGATATTTAAAATATTAATATAGATGTGAGTCACTGCAAGAAATAAATTTGCTCAGGGAAGTGGCGTGTAAGTAAAATTGTGATACGTGGAATGATATCTTGAAAAAGATTTACTTTTTAAAGCAATTCTATAATGACTTTTTTATCAAGTAAGAAATCACTTTATCAAAATAAAGAGATTCCCCAGATGAATTTATTTTATAAAAATTTATTTTTACAGATATTGTCAAGAACCCTCTGCTCTACAGTTCTTTGCTGTTCTTGACCCACCTCCTTCAAACTCGGATTTTCCGTTTCTCTCTTCTCCTAAGAGCTGCCTGCTGCCTTCTGGTAAGTGACAACCATGAGGCAGACACTGGACTAGGCACATTCATTCTTACTCTATTTATCAGTTGTTTATTGACTGCTGACAACATGCTAGACACAGTCAGGCACTTGAAATATGTTTTCTCATTTATCCCTATAGCCAGTCCTAGGAAGGAATCATTATTATCCTTGTGTAATCAACACTTTTTTTTTTTGAGACAGGGTCTTGTTCAGTTGCCCAGGCAATGCTGCCATCATGGCTCACTGCAGCCTCCACCTACTGGGCTCAAGCAATCCTTCTGCCTTAGCCTCCCCAGTAACTCGGACTGTAAGCATGCACTACCACGCCTGGCTAATTTTTAAATTTTTTTGTAGAGATGGGGTCTCACTATGTTGCCCAAGCTGATCTCAAACTCCTGGCCTCAAGTGATTCTCCCGCTTTGGCCTCCCAAAGTGCTGGCATTACAGGCCACCATGCCCAGCCTCCAAGGCGGTCTTCTACACAGCTTGAGCTGCTGATACAGTCTGCTACTTATTGGGTACTATGCTCACTATCTGAAAAAAAGGGAAAAAAAATCTTCTACTCTGTCCCCAGGGGCTGTGCTTGAACTGAGTCCCCTCCCCACATCAAGCCGATCTGTTTGTCTGCAAGGCTCTAACCCTCTTGGTAGGGTGTTGACAGGAATGTCTGGGATGGGGTGGTGCTTGGGAGAATCTGGACGTAACTTTCTGCTGCAAAGGGACAATGCATGTTGTGAAGAGGCTGTGCTGGGAATCATTTAAAGTGCAAAGCAGGTGAAGCCCGTACCTCCTGTAGCAGTCGCTCATCCCAAGCAGCTTCTGCTGTACAGTGCGGGTAAGTGTTCAGGAGTGAACTGCCCCGCTTTGTTACATTTCATGGAAGGACTGTGGCCTCCATGCCAGAGCTCTTCGAACAAAAACACTTTCAATCCCCTCATTCTCATTTTGTGGGGATTCCCAGCTGAACGGGCCTGGCTTTTTGGGAGAAGTTTCCAGCCCGTAGCTGCCTTGGCCAGGAGTGTGGGGGGTGGGACGGAAGGTACCCACGAGGGTGGCGGGTGGGGCCATCGGCCAGGAGTGTGGGGGGGTGGGACGGAAGGTACCCAGGAGGGTGGCGGGAGGGGCCATCGGCCAGGAGTGGGGGGGTGGTGGGACGGAAGGTACCCACGAGGGTGGCGTGTGGGGCCATCGGCCAGGAGTGGGGGGGATGGGACGGAAGGTACCCACGAGGGTGGCGGGTGGGGCAGATGCTAGGCATTCCGGATAAGGCAGATGACAGGCAGGCAATGAGCATGCTTTCCACGGAGCTTGCTTTCTAGTGGTGAGAATCAGACAAACTAACAAAAAACAGAGAAACAAGCGAGAAAGATACCAGTTAGCAAGAAGAAATCCAAGGATGGCTTAGTTGCTTATCAGCCCCATTAAACACAGAGATAATAGTTTGAGCCAGGCGTGGTAGGTTGCTCCTGTAACCCCAGCTACTCATGAGGCTGAGACAGGAGGATTGCTTGAACCGAGGTCAGCCTGGGCAACATAGAGAGACCTCGTCTCTAAAAAAAAAACCCCAAAAAGTTTGCAATGCTCCATTTACTACCTGGATATAAAATTTATAGAAAATATATCTCCAAATATAATGCACTTTAAATATAAAGTGTACTTATAAATATAATATTATATGTAAATATATAGCAAATAAAAATATTTTAAATTTATGTACTGATATAAAATATATTTTATTTATATACTATATATTTCATTTATATATAGTATATGAATTTGTTAAGACTATAAAGAGCATAAATAAAAGGAAAATAATTTATCAAAAAACAAATATGTATTATAATATGTGAAAAATGCTTGGGCACACCTACATCAGATGTTGCTGTTTCTCTGGTGGTTATCCCCAGCTTTATTTAGATTTCCACTTACATTTCTTTTTCCCTATCAATGCTTAAAGTGTATAAAAATTTTTATCTTTCCCCTGAATGAGAAGAAACTCTTAATATGTACCATTGTTAGTCTATCTCCTCCAAAACTCATATTGAAATTTAATCCTTAATGTGGCAGTATTGAGAGGTGGGGCTGCTAAGAGGTGATCAGATCCTGAGGTTTCTGGCTCCATGAATGGATTAATGGTTAATGGATTAATGGGTTATCACTGGTGTGGAACTGGTGGCTTCTTAAGAGGAAGAGAGACCTGAGCTAACATGGTAGCTCACTAGGCCCCCTTGCCACGTAATGCTCTGCACTGCCTCAAGACTCTATAAAGAGTTCCCACTAGCAAGAAGGGTCTCGCCAGATGCGCTCCCTCTAACCTTGGACTTCTCAGCCTCCAGAAGGGTAGGAAATAAATTCCTTTTCTTTATAAATTACCCAGTTTCAGGTACTCTGTTAAAAACAACAGAAAACAGACTAAGACGGTATGATTTTTGGTCTCATCTTCCTTCACCCTCTTTCCTGGCACGTTACTATTCTCTGGAGCTCTAAGACTGGTCTGCTATAGATATTTTTGTTGGGTGGGGAGGTGGAAGGGAGAATCATTCCTCATGCTTTTTTGTTTTTTGGTACTGTGGCAAAATCAAATTTGCAGTAATTTCATCTGTTTTTTGTTTTTGTTTTAAGAGACAGGATCTTGCTCTGTCAACTAGACTGGAGTGCAGTGGCGTGATCGTAGCTCATTGTAGCCTTGAACTCCTGAGCTCAAGTGATCCTCCCGCCTCAGCCTCCCAAGTTGCTGGGATTATAGGTGTGAATCACTGCACCCAGCTTATTTCTGTTTTTAAATTGACTTTCCTAATATTTATTTTATCTGTTTATTTAAAAATTATTTTCAAAGTATACAGCTCAGTGGTTTTTAATATATTCACGAGGTTGTGAAACCATCACCACTATCTAATTCCAGAACATTTTCACCACGCTGCAAAAGAAACCCCACACCTATTAGTAGTTACTACCCACCTACTCCCGTTGGTCCCTGACAATCACTAATCTATGAATTAGTTTGTCTCTATGAATTTGCCTGTTCTGGACATTTCATATAAATGGAGTCATATACTATGTGGCCTTTCGTGACTAGTTCCTTACACTTAGCATAGTATTTTCAAGATCGCCTCATGTTGTATCATGTAACAGTACTTTACTTCTTTTTAGTTCCTAATATCTTGTTGCTTCTTTCTGGATTAGTTTCCCTTCTTGAAGTGTATCCCCCAAGAATTCTTTCAAAGGGGCATGAAACTGTGGCATAAATTTCCCTTAGACTCAGTATGATTAAAAACATCTTCATTTTGCACTCACATTTAAGTAAAAGATGGGCTGAATGTAAATGTTTAGGTTCAAAGTTCCTTATCTTCACTATTTTGAAGATGTTCTTCCACTGCCGTCAAGAATTCTCATAGCAATCCGATTCTTGCTCCTTTTAAGGTGACTGTTTCTTCCCTCTGTCAGCCTTTACAATTTTCTCTTTAGGACTGATATTCTTACGTTTCACTGTGTAGTATCTAATTTTGTTTTTCCCCACCCTTTTCGATCTTGTTTAACACTGGGTGAGACCTTTTCCTCTGAAGCGTTCAACCTTTCTCTAATTCCGAAAATTATTTCTTCAAGGATTTTTCTCCCTGTTCACTTTTCTTCTTTCCTTTGAGGACTCCGATTGTGCAGAGAGTGACAGCTTTACTTCTGTTTTCCATACTGCTTAGCTTTTCTCACATTCTTTCCTTTCCTGATGCTTTCTTTGGGAGTTCTCTGACTTGATATTCCAGCTCACTACATCTTTCTGCATCTGTATCCATTCTGATATTTAATCTACCAGCAAATCTTTTACTTGGAAAATTATACATTTCTGTGTACACTATTTCTAATAGCTTTATCTTCATAGTCACTTGTGCCTCTCGCAGGTATCCAATGTCCTCCCATTTATGTTGGAGGCTATTAATTGTGCTCGTTTAAAATTCTTATTCTGTCTTTCCCATTACTTTTGCTTCCTCTGGAGCAGGGTTTTGCTGTTTTTCTCGGTGAACTCATCTTTTATTGTGTTGGGACTCTCAACGGCATTGGCTCCAGTGTTTGCCTTTAGTGGGAGACGGTAGAAAGCCTTGCTTGTGCTTTTCAGGCTCCTTTCGGTTTGGGGAGTGGGGCTCCCTCTACAGTTGAACAGACCCTCATTGCATACTTGTTCCACTACTTTCTATTTTCCCTACTTTCTGCATCATCCACCCCTGCAGGGAACTACCCAGGACTTCTGTCTCAGGAAAGGTGGTTGTAGGTGGTGGCAGGGAGAAGATGCTCAGACTCCTGCCAGCCTGCCTGTGTCTCTGCCATGTTTCCTATTCCAGCAGGTGCTGATGTTGCCCTCATGTTACCTCTCCAGCCCCACTTGCCCTAGGCTCTGGGCTAGTGTTCCTGTACAAGGGGATCTCCCCAGGCAGATACAACGGAGGGAAACGGGAACAATAGGAGAGAAGGAGTCCAGTGGCTCTGACTGCCTTCCACTCTAGACCACACTGTACCATGTTAGTTGCTGAGTTTGGCTCTGCGGTCCTCCAGACTCAGCCTCCCACCTCTTCTGGAGTGTCTCCAGGTTAGGGTCACTGGAGGGAGTCAGCATCCCATGCTACCTCGCTATTTTCCAGTCCTGATATATTATCATTTATCTTTCCAAACATGAAAGAAATAGTCATCTGACTTAAACCAAAGCTCTTCCAACATTTGATTGGTAGGGCCTTCAGAGTAAACTGTGAAAGCCATGGTATCTTAAGTGTACTTGGATAGCTTTTAGATATAAAAAGAGACAGTTTCAAAACACAATCAATGGTCTGATTAATATTTCATCTTATCAGAAGCCAAGACACTGAGCCCAACTAGTAAGTCTGCTTTCAGTCAGATAGGATTCAGTTGCTTGGTGTTTGACCTTCAACTTCCAAATATAGAAAATGGAAAAGTGCTTATGAGGACATCCGTACAATTGTCAACCCTGATTTCAAAGGCAACCCATTAATATAACTATTGGAGAGGGTGTTTTTTGGTGGAGGAGAAAAAATTTAAATCATTTCTTCATTCAAATAATATTTACTGAGCATCTGTACTGTGCCAGAACCTATGCTAATATCTTCATAAGATGTTCTTTTATGTGAGGGATACTCAGAATTGTAAAGTATAAACTGATCACGTGTTTCATGATAATGACCATACAGTGTGAAGAAAGAGTCTCGTTGTTTCTTGTTCTATTAAAACTCTAGTCCCAAATAGAATTTAGACTATGTTATCCATGAAACTGTAGTTTGGTAGTACTTCATGGTTCTAGAAACACTGTATTGGAGGGAGAACTATTTCTTTTTCTTTTTTTTTTTTTTGAGACAGAGTCTTCCTCTGTTGCCCAGGCTGGAGTGCGGTGGTGCCATTTCAGCTCACTGCAACCTCCACCTCCCGGGTTCAAACGATTCTCCTGCCTCAGCCTCCTGAGTAGCTGGGATTACAGGCGTGCGCCACCACACGCGGCTAATTTTTGTATTTTTAGCAGAGACAGGGTTTCATTATGTTGGTCAGGCTTGTCTCGAACTCCTGACCTCGTGATCTGCCCGCCTCGGCCTCCCAAAGTGCTGAGATTACAGGCGTGAGCCACTGTGCCCATACAGGGATAGCTAGGCTATCCCCTTCAGACTTTGGTATAGAAGAAGGTGCCATCCGGCCTGCAGGTACAGGGAGCTGAGAGAAGAGAATTAGCAGAAGACACTCCTGGGCAAATCCCTGGGGTAGGTTCTATGGCCTAGTTGCAGCACAATACATTATCTGGAGTGCTGGTTAACATGCAGATTCTGGAACCCTTCCAAGAGATACCAAACTAATGTCTCTGGGGTCAGGGACCCAGACATCTGAAAAGTTCAGGGCCTTGGCTATGTGTGGGCCTTTCCCGTGCACCTAGGTTGAGCTAGGTAGGAGCTGCCCATGTGAGGAAAAAAAGAAAGGAGGGGGCCCAAGGGATGGGTAACATTGGAGGAGCACAGCAGCCATGATAGATCATGAGAGCATATTCAGAAGACAGCCAGGATCCTAAGTCCTGAGAAGTAAGATTATGCATCAAGAGAAACGCATGAGGTGATCCAATCATTGCCAGGGTGGGTTATAGAAAAAGGAATCCAAGGATCAGGTGTGGGATGTGTGAGGAGAGTGATTTGTGAACTGAGATCCACAACACCGGGCCACAGTAGGACTTAGCTTCTAATTAGAGCCTTGTGTCTGTTGTCGGGGCATGAAGACTCCTTCTAGATTCAGCTGGTGGCTGGAGAGATTTTGCACAGTCCTAAGGGGAAGTCCTAAGGCATACTCATCCATCTACCCACTCATTGATTTATTCACGTATTCAACAGCTAGATGTGGCGTATTCATTACTCAACACCTATTAAGGGGTCCCCTACGCACCAGGCACTGTGTCAATGTCGAGACTGTGCAAGGTCACGTAAAGTTTCATCTTTATCCTAAAAGCAAATGGAAGCCACTGAATGCTTTTACGAAGAGATGTAACACAATCAGATGGCACGTGGAAAGGCCGCTCTGCCACAGTGGAAGGGATGGACATGGCCACAGGCAGGCAAGCTGGGAGGCTGTCACAGGTTCGGCATGAAGGTGATGGCTTGGACAGGGGTGGTGCAGAAGGTACGGAAAACTGATTGATGTGAGAGATACTGATGTGCTAAACTTGAACGGGTAGGACATAATGCTGGATTGAATATGGGAGAAGGGAGGGTTTGAGAGAGAGGGAGATGCCAGAAATTACTCCTGGATTACTGGTTTGAACCACTAGATGGATGATGGTGCTATTCATTGCAAGAGGAAACCCTGAAAGGAGACAGGTTATGAATTGGGATGCTCAGAGTCAAGCCATTTCCTCTCGTTAGTCCTGCTCTCCTATTGCAATCATAGACCACTTTAACTACCTCTGTGGGCTCCTAATGGGCCACTTTTGTTACCTCCACAGAGCATCGACTCATTGCTCAGAACCTTGCTCTAGGAAAGTTTGCTTTTTAAAAAAATTTTTTTAAAATATATTTAGGAAGTACAAGTGCAGGTTTCTTACCTGCTCATATAGTGTCGTAGTGAAGTCTTGGCTCCTAGTGCACCCATCACCCGAAGAGTGAGCGTTGTACCCAATAGTAGTTTTTCAGCTCTCAGCCCTTCCCACCCTCCCACTCTGCTGCCTTTTGTAGGAGAAGAATGTTTTCTAAACAAGTTGGTGAACACAGTGGGAAAGCCATTAGGTGAAATAACCGCAAGGGGATCTGAAAGTCCTACCGCAGCAACAGTGGGTAGGGAAGAACCTGGATGGGTTAGTCTTGGCAATTCTTCAATATGGCTACTGAGCCGCTAGCGTCAATCTTTCTGGCTTTCATAAGATTTTCCCACCACCCAGCCTCACAGAGTCTGTTCCACACATCTATCAGTGCCACCTGTTTTGGTGGTCCTTTCCTTTAGTTTTTTTCTGACTCCTTTGGAGCTTATGAACAGAAAAATGTTGAAAAGGCAGGCCAAAGACATTACTCAGCCAGACAGTGATATTTATTGAGCCAACTGTGTAAAAAACACTCCACTAGTGTTTTATTTGTTATTTGTTATTTGTCTGTCTGTTTGTTTGTTTGTTTTTAAGCAGGGTCTCACTCTATTGCCCAGACTGCAGTGCAGTGGTAAACCGGCTCAACTTCCCTGGCTCAGGTGATCCTCCCACCTCAGTCTCCTGAGTAACTGGGACTACAGGTGTGCACCACCATGCTGGGCTAATTTTTGTATTTTTTGTAGAGACGGGGTTTTACTGTGGTGCCCAGGCTGGTGTCGAACTCCTGGGCTCAAGCATCCACCTGCCTCAGCCTCCCAAAGTGCTGGGACTACAGGCATGAGGCACTGTGCCCAACCTCTACCAGGGATTTGAAGAGGTAAAAAAGAAATGGCTCCCAAGAAAAGAGAAGGTAGAAGCAAAACATCTGGGTAGTTCACAAATTGTACAACCAACTCCTGAAAAACAGAAAAAGGCATGGTTGATTTTTCAGGAGGTTCCATGTACAGAAGCTAGGATCTCAGCATAGGGAGGCAACTGAGCTCCCAGCTTTGCTGTTTTAGAAGGGAGGGCTGGCAGACACTTGAAGCTCTTGGGGGTGCTAATGCTAGGATTTTACAGACTTTGACCACATCGCTTCCTCTCACATTTTCACTGGAAAGGACAATGAAAACTCCCTACAGGGCAAGTCAGCTGCTGATGTAAATTACCAAAGTTATAACGACGTCTTCCTGGAAAACATCCCTTTTTTATGTGTAATTTCAACGAAAATGAAATTCATTCCCTCTGTCTAGTGGGTGAGTTGATCACAGAGAACTATTTAGGTAAAGCAGAAAATGTTCATAGAATGTTGCAGTGTAAATTATGAGGATAAGAGCTTTCCTTCACTCTAGGACTCATAATAAAAGAGTCGATCCACATTTGGGGTCTAATGACCCCTGAGATTTTTTTTTTTAAACAATGTCATCAAACTCACTAGGGCCCAATTGTGGGAAACTGAGGTAGGGGCTTGAAATACCATTTCCTGGCCATGTACTGCATACCTGAGTCAGGCACTGCAGGAGCTTCATAGACACTATTCACTTAATTGTCACAACAACCCTATTAACTAAGTACTGTATCCCCAGTTTTACAGAAAAAAAAATTTCAAAGTCAAAGGCATTGGCCACACAGCCAGTGCAGGACAGAATCAGATCCAAGAGTTCTGCTAGGTTCCATTGTCCGTGATATTGTGTTGTCTCCTCTTCCCAGTTCCCTTTCCACCCTTTTGATCTTTTCCACTTGGAGAGAACTAATCTTCCTGAACCGTATGAGCCACATCAAGAAGTTCCTGCTGAAGCCTCAGTATCACCTGACACTTGTTGGCCATCTAAATTCTCAGGTCCTGCCCCAGAACTTCTGTTTGAGTCTGTTTGGGCTGCCATAATACAGTACCATAGACTGGGTGGCTTTTAAACAACAGACATTTATTTCTCTCAGTTCTGGAGCCTGGGAAGTCCCAGAGCAGGCACTGTGCCTGGTGAGGGTCCACTTCCTGGTTCATACATGGCACCTTCTTGCTGTGTCCTCACATGGTGGGATCGGCAAGGGAGCTCTCCAGAATCTCTTTGATAAGGGTGCTGATCCCATTCATGAAGATAGAGCTTTGGTAGTCACCAAAGTCTCCACCTTCTAATAGCATCACACTGAGGGTCAGGAATTCAACAAGCATTTGATTGCAGCAACCACTGAAGATGAAACTCTGGGGTTGAGTCCAGCAATCTGTGTTGTAACAAGCCCTCCAGGTGATTTGTAGGAAATGGGAGACTTAGAGGGATTCCTTGGGGATCTTTACTAGGACATGTCCAAGAAATACTCTGGAGTAATTCAGGGAAGTAACCAAGAACTCTTCAGGGCTCAACTACCCATGAGTGGCAGATCACTTCCTGGGGGACTGCTAGGGGTTCTTTGTGTTTATATGAGTTGAGGAGCTGGGCTGGAGGGAGTGACCACCTGGGACCGGCTGTGCCTGCAATCTTTGCCTGCACATAGGAAAACCTCCTGCGGTTTTCATTTCCTAAGGACTCTAGCAGCCCTGGTTCTCTCCAGGTATTACAAAATAGGCCAACATAGTTTACCCTCACCATTGCAGGGCAGTCCAAGCTGAGCTTTTCTTGTCACATTTCCCACCTTGTCTGAGTCCTCTTCCTGGCAGGGAGGCTGGCACTGTGGAGGACAGCGAGCTGCTCTGGGAGAAGCTCCTCCAGGCATTGGCTGGTGGTAGGAGGCCTCCTATTTGAAGCTGTTGGTGATGCCATACCTGGGGAAGATGTACACTTGGTGAGAAGCAGGTAGGGAGCCAAAGATGGTAAGCTGGAGAGAAGACTCCGAACGGACCCCCAAACAGGAGAAAATGCAGCTGTCCAAGGGTGATCTGAACACCAGAGGTCTGAGAGCAGGGAAGTAGCAAATGCCTGGGGTAAGTGTTATGGTCCAGGAGCTGCACATCAGAATTATCTGGATAAAATGATAGGTGTTAGAGCCCTTCTACGGGTTACTGAATAGGAAACTCCAGAGTTGGGTTTACTGAATAGCAAACTCCAGAGTTGGGGGCCAAAGAATCCATTACAAACATTTTTTTAGAGACAGGGTGTATCTCTGTCACCCAGGGTGGAGTGTAGTGGTGTGATCATAGCTCACTGCAGCCTTGACCTCCTAGGCTCAAGTGACCCTCCTGCCGCAGGCCTCCCTATAGCTAGGACTCCAGGAGCACACAACCATGCCTGGCTAATTAAAAAAAAATTTTTTTCTAGAGAAAGGGTTGTGCTGGGACTCCAGGCCCACTGCATCCAGCCAGAATCCATTTTCTTTTTCTTTTTTCTTTTTTTTCTTTTCTTTTTTTTTTTTTTGGATGGAGTTTTCTCTTGTTGCCCAGGCTGGAGTGCAGTGGCATGATCTCGGCTCACTGCAACCTCTGCCTCCTGGGTTCAAGCGATTGTCCTGCCTCAGCCTCCTGAGTAGCTGGGATTACAGGCACACACCACCACACCTGGCTAATTTTTGTATTTTTAGTAGAGACAGGGTTTCACCATGTTGGTCAGGCTGATCTCAAACTCCTGACCTCGTGATCTGCCTGCCTTGGCTTCCCAAAGTGCTGGAATTACAGGCGTTAGCCACCATGCCTGGCCCAGAATCCATTTTCTAAGAAGCTCCTCGGCTTGCTGATTCTGATGTGGCTGGCCAAGCCATGATCCTGGGATTTAGAAACCATTGCTGCCTTCTATAATACTACGTGAGCCCACTTGGTATAAAGGCCAGAAATAGGGTGGGTCACCTGGGATTTGTGTGCACTTTTGGTTTCAGATTCAACTTTTCAATTAGTTAGTATATTTGGTGTGGCTGTTTTAACAGAGATGGAAAGCAGTGGGTTAGACCAGATAGTAGATTTATTTCTCTTTTATATGAACGTCTGAGGTAGTAGGGCATCCAGGGTGGCACACTGGCCCTGCTCTACAGGGTTATCCCAGAGGCCCAGGCTCCTTCTCTGTTGCCATCTGCCATCCCTTGAGATGCTGTCCCCATCCAATAAAACTGGCTCACAAACACCACATCCGGGTTCCAGCCCAGATGAGGGGAAAAGAAAGCACAGTGAGCAGCTTCCTTGGACCGAAGTAATCCAGAAGTGGCAGGTGTCTCTTTCACTCACATCTCATTGGTTGCAATCTCCTCATATGGCACATCTGTTGCCAGGAAGATTGGGGAAATAAAAAGCTTAGCTTGGTCACCGTTGCCCCACTAAATTTGGGAAGTTTGATTATTAAAGGGAAAATAGATATTGAGGGTTAATCCGATGTCTTTCCAAGTGGCTTGGAGTCACTACACCCCACTATACCAAGCTAACATTTTCTATCGTTATGGTCCATTCTTATCCATCCCTTGAAGGCCAGTCTCCTCTTTTTACATTTTATGGCCCTAGACATCATGGAGGTTGTGACAGGGTCTGTAGCTGCCACACCGGAGGTCATATTTCAAGCTGCCCAGGGCTATGCTTCCTGGGTGGAGTGGAAGGGTGAGGGTGGGTGTATTAGTCTGTTTTCATCCTGCTGACAAAGACATACCTAAGACTGGGCAGTTTACAAAGAAAAGAGGTTTAATGGAGAACTCAGAGTTCCATGTGGCTGGGGAAGCCTCACAATCATGGCGGAAGGCAAGGAGGAGCAAGTCACATCTTACATGGATGGCGGCAGGTAAAGAGAGCTTGTGCAACTCCTTTTTTGTTTTTTGTTTTTTTTTAGACAGAGTTTCGCTCTGTTGCCAGGCTGGAGTGCAGAGGCGATATCTCGGCTCACTGCAACCTCTGTCTCCCAGGTTCAAGCAATTCTCCTGCCTCAGCCTCCTGAGTAACTGGGACCACAGGCGTGCACCACCACGCCCAGCTAATTTTCATATTTTTAGTAGACATGGGGTTTCACCATGTTGGCCAGGATGGTCTTGATCTCCTGACCTCGTGATCTGCCCACCTTGGCCTCCCAAAGTGTTGGGATTACAGGCGTGAGCCACCACACCCAGCCGGAACTCCTCTTTTTAAAACCATCAGGTCTCATGAGACTTATTCACTACCATGAGAACACCACAGGAAAGACTTGCCTCCATGATTCAATTACCTCCCACTGTGTCCCTCCCATGACCCGTGGGAATTCAAGATGAGATTTTGGTGGGGACACAGCCAAACTCACTATCAGAAAAAGAGAGCTTGTGCAGGGGAACTCCTCTTTTTAAAACCATCAGATCTCATGAGACTTATTCACTATCATGAGAATAGCACAGGAAAGACTGGCCTCCATGATTCAATTACCTCCCACTGGGTCCCTCCCACAACACTTGGGAATTCAAGATGAGATTTGGGTGGGGACACAGCCAACCCATATCTGTGAGGTTAAGGGGTCAATAAATGGCAGTGGGTTCAGTGGTCCTGGCCTCACTCCTAGCACCTGCTCACATATCAGTTTAAGGTAGTTCTCTGGATTCTTAAACTAGGGATTCCCAGTTCTGTTTGTTCGTTAACTCTCATTGAATCAGTACACATTCACCTACAGCTCTCACATCATAAACATCTGTGTTGCCACAGAATAAAATGCAATATTTAGCCTATGGCATCTTACCCATCATATATTCGTACCCAACAAAAATTCTTAAATGTAATGGGAAAATCACTCAACAAAATGTTATAGATTGTGGGCTATGAGCCAAGAAGTGTTTATGGTTTGATTTCTAGCATCTGACACAACACAGGCATACAAGAAATATTCTTTGAATGAGCAAGCGATTGACTGTGAGGATGTGGAGATGAAGCAAACTGAATGAGAGTTCGTCATTCAGTGGGAAAAATGCACGTGCAGGCAAGACCTCATAATACCACTCAGGGACACTTCAGGCTCCCTGTTCATCTTTCATGTCTCAGTGTTGGAGCATCGCCCCATCACTGGGTCAGTCTGCTCACCTCCCTGCAGGTGTGTTTTTGAATTAGCACATTCAACAACACCACTGTTGACATTTTGGATCTGTCGATTCTTTCCTGGGGTTGAGGGGAAGAGGCCTGTCTTGTGCATTGTAGGATGTGTAGCAGCAGCCCTGGCCTCGACCCACCAGATGCCAGTAGCACCCCTCTTCCAGTTGTCACAACCATACATGTCTGCAGACATTACCAGATGTTCCCTGAGGGCCAAAATTGTCTTCTTTTGAGAACCACTGGGTAGACCCATTACACATCTCTTTTACAAGGTGTGCCACAGATGCCGACCAAGGACTTGTGCAAATATTTAAGGACGAGTCATAGCTTTGCTCTCAGGGATACTGGCTGTTCCCACAGGCCCCCAGCTCATGCAGGGGAGTGGATTTCTGTCTTGGTGAAAATATACATCTTATTCTTAAAGTTTCACAACAGGATGACAACATTGCCTCCCTCACATCTGGTTTTAGGGCACATGGTTCTCATTCTAACCTATAACACCAAATCTTTGCATCAAGTCAGTGGTTAAAAATTTATTCAAGAATTAATGAAATCCAGAAACTGGCTGGGCGCGGTGGCTCACGCCTGTAATCCCAGCACTTTGGGAGGCCGAGGCTGGAGGATCACGAGATCAGGAGATCGAGACCATCCTGGCTAACACGGTGAAACCTTGTCTCTACTAAAAATACAAAAAATTAGCCGGGCATGGTGGCAGGTGCCTGTAGTCCCAGCTACTCAAGAGGCTGAGGCAGGAGAATGGCATGAACCCGGGAGGCGGAGCTTGCAGTGAGCCGAGATCGCGCCACTGCACTCCAGCCTGGAAAAAGAAAAGAAATCCAGAAACTGTCAGGGTTCACTATGAACATCTGAGATTTGAGAGGCAGGTTAATCATTCTTGTTTACATCCCTGTGCACATTGCTAGGTACAAACTTTACTGTGCAACAGAAACATTTGGGGAGTTTGTATAAATGCATGTTTTGATCCCATTTCTAGAGATTCTGATTCAGTGGATTTAGGGTGGTGCTCAGGAAGCTACGCTGTCTGAAAAGCTCTTTTAAGTAATCCGTAGGCTACACTTTGAAAAGTGATATTTATTTCTCCAAGTATTATTTCTAGATGAAATTAGACATCCAGAAAGAAAAACTCTCTTGAAATCTAGTAATGTTAAGTCCTTACATTTTATTCCTTTTCAAAATGTTTCTGACGATTATAGAAACTTTGCATTTCCATTCAAATCACCTTGTCAATTCCTACAAAAATATCTTACTATTGTCTAGTCACTGTCTATTTCATTGATTGATTTTAATTCTCTGCATAGCACTTAAGTACTTTTAAATTATCACTGATCTCCTCCCACTAGAAGATAAGCTTCATAAGGGCAGAAGAATTATCATTTCTTTTTTTCTTCACTATATCTCCAGCTCCCTGAGTAATGCCTTTCACATATTAGGTTCTCTATACATATTTATTTTATTATATTTTTATTTATTCATTTATTATTTTTTTTTTGAGGCAGTGTCTCGCTCTATTGCCCAGGCTGGAGTGCCGTGGTGCGATCTTGGCTCACTGCAAACTCCACCTCCCGGGTTCAAGTGATTCTCCAGCCTCAGCCTCCCGAGTAGCTGGGACTATAGGCACATGCCACCACGCCCGGCTAATTTTTTATATTTTTATATACGGGGTTTCACCATGTTAGCCAGGATGGTCTTGATCTCCTGACCTTGTGATCCACCCACCTCGGCCTCCCAAAGTGCTGGGATTACAGGCATGAGCCACCACGACATATTTATTGAATAAATGAAAAAATAAAAATAAATAAGAGATACGAAATTGTGTACTCAAGTCCAGTTTAAGGGTATTTTACTGGACAGTAACATCTAACTTTCTATTAATCACAGTATTTTATTAGCCAGAACACCTATCTGGTTAAACAGTTACTTTGTTTCTAATAAATAGGAAAATAATTCATGGCTAAATGATGGCCGTGTCTTGTTCCACGGTGGCTGCTTCTCATTAACCTTCATAATATGCAGATCTGCTGTTGAAACGGATGGGTTTCAGGTGATTTGATCAGCCTAATGAAGTGTAGAGCAAGTGTTTTGTAAAGGGGCGCAACAGTCAAGACTCCCTCTGGCAGGAAGGCAGACTCACTGGAGATGGCAGTGCGGCACCCAAGACCTGTGCTTTCATTTATCTCTCAAACTCACTATTCCTTTCTCTCTTTTTCTCTAGCACTGTTTCTTGACTCATGCCTAGAACTCCACAGCTTTAAGATAAGTATCAGGACTCCTAGTTGCAGGTGAATGAAATCCCAACTCAAATGACTGGAGAAAGATGGGAATGCAGAGTTGAGAGAGGGGAGGGTTGATATCTGGTCTGGTGGGGTGTGGCGCCCACATGGTCTCCTAAGAATCCTGCTCACGTTTCCCCTGGGTCAGCTTAGTTCTGGGGAAGCACTCTTTTCACGGTGGCAAGTGGATGTTGGTATCTGTGGCCTTACCGACTCTCACCTTCTCAGGATGCCCACAGAAAGAATTTCCCTTCCCCAACAGTTCCAATAAAAACCTTGGAATTGGGCCAGGCATGGTGGCTCACACCTATAATCCCACTGCTTTGGGAGGCCAAGGCAGGAGGATCTCTTGAGGCCAGGACTTGGAGACCAGCCTGGGCAACGTACTGTGACCCCATCACTACAAAATAAAAAAGAAATGAGCCAGGTGTGGTGGTGCACGCTTGTAGTCTCAGCTACTTGGGAGGCCAAGACAGGAGGATTGCTTAACCCAGGAGTCTGAGGCTGCGGTGAGTTATGATTGAGCCACTGCACTCCAGCCTAGGCAATGGAGCAAGACTCTGTCTCAAAAAATAAATAAATAAAGGCTTTGAATTGAGTCTCATTTGTTCTAATTGTCCTCGCCTGGATAGCTTGACCACCCAGATGTCACTGTGGCCACTGCACCTGGTGCTCTGCAGGAACAGCCTAGGTCTCACATCCACTTCTTGGGCCAGGAATGAGGCTAGCCCCACAAAACCCTGGTGGATCGAGCGTGAGAAGATGGGTAGATACGGGGCAGGAAAAACCGCAGATGTCCACTTGAGCAGTAAAAGGGGGCCACGGTTGATGCCTTTCAAAGGTGAGGCCTGAGAGGGGTGCTCCTTGCAAATCTGCCAGTGCTGTGTCTTTCCACATGCTGAGTCCTGGCTCATTGGAGCCCTTGGGAAGTTCCTGTCGGGCATCTCAGGTGCATGTTGCCCTCTTAGCTCCAGACCTTCGGTTTTGATGGTGCTCTTCCATTTGTACCCTTGCCGTGCATAACACTGTGATATAATGAAAAGTATATATTTGTTTTTTGTCCCCAGTTCCTGGCGCAGAGTTCCTAAAACGCTTGGAATTTCCATTGTGTTAGGGGTAAGAGGAGCGTCTTTTGTTACTCATAACAAGTCCCTTTCAGCCACACCTTAGTTTATGTTAATGAGGTGACCTCTATGAAACCCCTAAGGATGAAGGCTGGTTTCCAGGGGAACCGTGTGATTAGAGGTTGAAGCTTTTAGCCCCGCCACCCAGGAAAAGGAAAGGAGCTAGATATTGACTTAATCAACAAGGGCCAAAGATTTTATCAATCAATCATGCTTACATAATGAAGGTAATGGAACCTCTATAAAAACCCTAAACAATGGGGTTTGGAGAGCTTCTGGGTCGGTGAACCCATGGAATTGCTGAGAGGAAAGTGTGCCCAGAGAGGGCATGAAAGTTCTGTGCCCTTTTTCCTATCCCTTGCCCAATGCATCTCCCCCATTTGGCTATTCTTGAGTTGTATCCTTTATAATAAACTAGTAAACATAAGTAAATATTTCCCTGAGTTTTGTCAACCATTCTAGCAAATTATCAAACCCAAGGAGGGGAATCAGGGCAACAGCTGATTTATAGTCAGTCAGTCAGAAGTTTGGGAGGCCAAGACCAGATGGGGTTAGTGACCGGCGTCTGCTGTGGGGATACGTATTGGTGGCGTACATATATTTTTAAATGTATGATGAAGTTATCAACTATAATCACCCTGTTGTGCAGTCAGATAGTTTGTCTTATTGTGGGACTGAGTCCTTAACCTAAGGGGTCGATACCAACTCCAGGAAGTTAGCATCAGAATTGAGTTAAACTGTAACACATGCAGTGTTCACCAAGACTTGAAGGACTGGTGGGTGTGGGATAACCCTCCTTCCTTTGGTGTCAGAAGTGTGAGTGTAGTGATAACAGAGTGGCCCTTGGGTGCCACTTCACTGTGACCCTCGGGTACCCTCCTGTTCTCATTTCCAACTCTGACCTTAATAGCCACCCCCACTCAGGCAACATCCCACAAGTTGTCCACACGCTATCCCCGACCATATGCCTAGAGTCTCAAATGTGACAACCCAGCACTTCTGCTGACAGAGTAGAATGTATGAAATCTGGATATGGATGGCTAATGGGTACATTAAAAAATAGAATTAATAAGACATGCTGCTCTTTGATTGTACAACACGGTTACTATAGTCCATAATAACTTAATTGTACATTTTAAAATAACTGAAAGAGTATAATTAGATTGTTTGTAACACAAAGGATAAGTACGTGAAGAGATGAATGCCCCATTTTCCATGATGTGATTCCTACTACGTACCCACAAAATTTTTTGAAAACTAAAAAGAAAGAAACTGAACATGATTCTGCTGGAATCCAAATGTCATCCACTGGATTCATAAAACACCACCACACATCTCTACATAGAAAAACAAGGACAAGGCCAAGAGTTGGAAATTCAGGAACTCTACCCACCCCATCCCCTTCCCTTTGGGTTCAGTGTAGGCACATCCTGTCTCTCAAGGGCCATAATGAAAGTGTTGTCTCTGGCCATGACCTTCTATTATTTTTAAGTAGCTGTGGCTGAACAAAAGACAAATAAAAACTTTCTCTGCTTGACATTAAAAAAATTACTGGCATGTCATATGGTAATTCATTAAAGAATTCTCATTCATCAAAACAATTCATTTTTGTTGGAAGAGGCTGAATAAGCAGTTTCTTGCTGATTTCACTGTGAGCCTCTCTGGCCACATGAGTCTCTGGTTCATATGCACTAATTTTATTCTCAAATATTAAGAGTTCTGGGGGGGCATATGTGGAATATTTTAAATCAAATGGTGCTATTTTACTTAGACACCTCCATATAAGCTCATTTCCCTCTTTATGTTTTTTCTTTTAAATTCTAACACCTAGAATTTGCATTCAGTCACTTTTTTAAAGATGGGAAAATACACACCAAATGGATTGATTTGAATCTGCTATTGAACTGTGTATAGGAAAATGGTCTCAGGGTAATTTTAAAACTTTTTTTTTATAATATCCTAACGTAGGGGGAATTATTCCAGAGTTTCCTGGATTTCTGAGCATAATTAACCCTTTGTAAATATGTGCTTTTCAAAGTCCTTCATGATAAAGAAAACCCAGTTCATTTTTTTATGGTAGTTTTGTTTCCACACCACAGAAAGATAGTTTTTGGATTTCCCCAAAATTTTTTTCTCAGAGATCTTTTTTTTTTTTTTTTTTTGAGATGGAGTTTCACTCTTGTTGCCCAGGCTGGAGTGCAATGGCATGATCTCGGCTCACCACAACCTCCACCTCCCGGGTTCAAGTAATTCTCCTGCCTCAGCCTCCCTAGTAGCTGGGATTATAGGCATCTGCCACCATGCCCAGCTAATTTTTTGTATTTTTAGTAGAGACGGGGTTTCACCATGTCGCCAAGGCTGGTCTTGAACTCCAGACCTCAGGTGATCCACCAGCCTCGGCCTCCCAAAGTGCTGGGATTGCAGGCATGAGCCACCATTCCCGGCCTCAGAAATCTTTAGTCAGGATGGTTTCCCAATATCTAACTTGTGTTATTCATTTAATATATTTTATCTTTTAAAAGACTCTTTTCCTTTTTTTAGCCTTTCACCTTCTTCCATGAGCCCAGTTTCCTTGGTGAAATCTGAAATCTTAATGCCTGTCCCTCTGACCTCTCCTTATTTTCTTTCTTCTCCTCCATAGAGCAGAGACTGTAAACTCAAAATGCTGAGGTCAGATAGGGTATTTTAAATGAGTAAATAGGTTGGGAATGACAGAAAGGAAGCAAAGAGTATATGGGAACTCTGGAAACCAGAGATACTAGACTAAGGAGAAGGTTGCCACCATTTAGCGCCAGCTAAGAGTCCCCATAAGAGATGATCAGCGGCAAGATTGCCAGAAGGTACACTTCCAAGAGAAACCAGAGATCTAGGTTTTAGTGTGAAATGTTGCAGTTTTAGAAATAGTCAATTATTTAAAAATTTTAAGACCCAAAGCCTGTACACGTCCCACAGACACTAGAAATTCTTTTACTCATGATTGCTCCATGCTTTCACTAAAGTTACTTCCATTAAAATCTGATTAGGCCATACTCTTTTTTTTTATTTTTTTATTTTTAAGACAGAGTCTCGCTCTGTTGCCCAGGCTAGAGTGCAATAGCGCCATCTCAGCTCACTGCAACCTCTGCCTCCGGGGTTCAAGCGATTCTCCTGCTTCAGCCTCTCAAGTAGCTGGGCCCACAGGCGTGTGCCACCAGGCCCAGCTAATTTTTGTATTTTTAGTAGAGACGGGGTTTCATCATGTTGGCCAGGAGGGTCTCGATCTCTTCACCTCGTGATTCGCCCGCCTCGGCCTCCCAAAATGCTGGGATTACAGGCGTGAGCCACCGCGCCCAGCCTAGGCCATACTAATTCTTACTCTTCCCCTCACCTCCTTAGTAGTTGGGCCAGAGTTTTACAAGTTGCAGTAGTAACCTGGTAAGTATCTAATGACGAGGGTCCTGCTTCTCCCCTGCTGGTTATTTCAGGCACTGGGACCAGAGCTCTTCCTAGGAAAGAGTGAATTGGGACCAATTTCTCTTGGTGGAGCTTTGCCACTGGCCTGTGGACAGAGACTGAGGAGGTAGTTGGTGGTCAGTAAAGAGGTGGTTCTGCCCTTCAGAGAGCCACCTGGATTCCGCGCTCCATCTGTCCACTTCCCCTTCTAATCACTTGGTACTTTTCCCTCCGCCCTTCTTAATCCAGCACCACTGCCACCATTGTCAACACCAGGAGAGGCTAGATGCAGGCTCATCCTGTGTACCCCATGTTACCCCCACACAGCACACACACGTAGACACACACAGACATACACACATCCACACAAAGACTCACATACACACATAGACACACACATATCCAGACATAGAGACACATTCACATACAAACAGAGACACATTCACACATATGGTGACACACACACCCACACACAGAAACATACATTCACTTACACACATACACACACAGACACACATAGACACATACACATCTGCATACATTCACACACACAGACACATAGATACATGCATCCACACATAGACACACAGGGAGACACGCACACATCCACACACAAAAATATACACATCCACATCCAGACTACACACACACACACACACACACACACACACACACACACACAGAACTGTCATGCCCTGATTTGTTTTCTTCTCAGCTGCTCTTGATGTTCATTTTTATTTGATTTAACCACAAAAAATGTGGTGTGTCTGGGATTTCCAATGCTGTGAACAGGACTGAAGAAGTGGCATGTGCTCAGTTAGATCATCCTCCAATTGGTCCACAAGTGTGTGTAATCGGGAGTTAATAGTGTTGAATTACACCTTGCTTTTTGATAGTACTTAAGTTTTTTAAACATTTTTGCAGTTATCATTTCATTTTAAATTTTACAAATAAACCCTGTGGCTCCAGTAGTGAAATATTGTCCCTTTTTTAACAGATTTGAAGACTTGTCAGTAAGGCTCAGAGGTTTGCTTGATGACACTGGGTGATCAGACATATGAGCGTCTCCAAAGACATCTGGACATCAATTTTTTTTTTTCAGACGGAGTCTCGCTCTGTCACCCAGGCTGGAGTGCAATGGTGTGATCTTGGCTCACTGCAACCTCCACCTCCCAGGTTCAAGCAATTCTCTGCCTCAGCCTCCCGAGTAGCTGGGACTAAAGGTGCATGCCACTATGCCCGGCTAATTTTTGTATTTTTAGTAGAGATGGGGCTTCACCATCTTGGCCAGGCTGGTCTTGAACTCCTGACTTCGTGATCCACCTGCCTCGGCCTCCCAAAGTGCTGGGATTACAGGCGTGAGCCACTGCGCCCGGCCACATCAAATATTAAAGTATGGCAAGGGATGACATGGATTTTCACTGAATTGTGTGAGTGGTTTTATTTTTCCTATGATTTTATTTTATTTTTTAACAAAAGTGATTCGTCACCAATGGTAACTACACAGGTGATTGAATATTTATAGTGTAGTTGACTATGGTGTCCCAGTTTTTGGTTTTGTTAATTTGATCACTGTATTTATGATGCCACTCAGCCAATTAGTAGGAGATCAAAGACCAGTTTTCATTTTCTGACTATGATGATCTGTTTGGTTTTTTTCTAATTAGATTGGGTCAAGCAGTTCAGAAAGAAGGGTGAATGTAGAGTTTTCATGCAATGTTCTTGTTTGTGTATACCTTGCTAAAAAATTTTAAAGCATTACCCTACTAACTTATTGCAAACTTATGATCTAGCAAACTCTTCTTTGGGGGAAGCTATATCAATTGGGAATTTTCTGTCTACAAAAACCTGAAAACCCAACTGACTATAACTGTAAAAAAAAATAGTATCTCTCCCAACAGCCAAACTTGGAAGAATTTTAACAACAAAATAAGTAGTATTGGATTGCAACATAAAGTATAAAATAAATATCCATGAATCCATACTGATATAAATAAATGATTGCATAAATAAGTCAATAAATCGGGGAGAAAAGACAAATCCTTGCAGAAGAATTCCAAATAATTTATGTAAATACCCTGCCCTCAAGGAGGTGGACCACGCTTCCCGCTCCTTCAGGTTGGGCTGCCCATAGTGACTTCTATCTCAAGAATACAGTATAGAGAGGGGTGGGGGGAAGAGTAAATTGATAGTGGAGAAACCTCACAAACACTACCCCAGGCAGGAGGTCAAGGTCAGTATCAGCAGTGATAAATCATGTTGAAAGTGTGTACCCTTGATATGTGATGAAAATGGCACTTTACCTCTGTGGTCTTCCTCCTCCAAACCCCATAACCCCGGTATAATTGTGAGAGAAACATCAGACAAATCCCAATAGAGAGGTATCCTACAAAATACATCACCGTTACTCCTCAACTGTCAAGGTAAATCTGAGAAGCTATCGCAACCCAGAGTAGCCTAAGGTATCATGACAACTAAATGTAATGTGGTGTTCTGGGTGGGATCCTGGAATGGAACGTTAGGCAAAGCTAAGGATATCTGAATACACTCTGGGCCTTAGTTAGTAATAATATATCCAGTATATTGGTACATTTGTTAATTGTAACAAATGTACCATACTAATGCAAGATGTTAACAATAGGGAATCTGGGTGAGGGATACATGGGAACTTGCTATACATCTTCTCGATTTTTCTGTATATCTAAAACTGTTCTTAAAAAAAAGTGAAATTTTTTTTTTTTGAGACAAGATCCCACTCTATCACCCAGGCTGGAGTGCAGTGGCAGGATCATGGCTCACTGTAGCCTTGAACTCCTGGGCTCAAGTGATCCTCCCACCTCAGCCTCTTGAGAAGTTGGGACTACAGGTGTGCATCACCACGTCTGGCTAATTTTTTAATTTTTAAAATGTTTTGTAGAGGTGAGGTCTTGCTATGTTGCCCGGGCTGGTCTCGAACTCCTGGGCTCAAGCAATCCTTCTACCTCAGCCTCCCAAAGTGCTGGGGTTACAGGTGTGAACCACCATGCCCAGACAAATGTAGTTTTAAAAAAGTCTTATTTTACCTAAAAGAGAATACTCACAGGACATGGCCAGAGTCAGTTGATTAAGCAGAGAAGCAATCCTGGAAGCTCAGGTGCTTTCCGCCTGCCTGCTCTGCTCACCTGATGTGGGCTGATCTCAGTTAGTGGGTCTCATGGTTGTAACAGAACCACTGCACTTACCAGGACACAGGCAGGCACAACAACATCCGACAGGAGGCAGAAACCATTTTTCATTATGTTTCTTTGTAAGTGTGAAGGTCCTTCCCCTAGAAGGCCCCAGGAGGTCTCCCCTCGAGACCGCTGGATAGAACCGGTGCCGTATCTGCTCCTGAACCATCACTGACAAGGGAATAAGATGACCCCAGCATCTGACAGGAACAGGAGTTCCCTTGGGTCTCATAGTGGGGACATCTGAACCAACTGGGCTCTTCCAGCCCCTAAGAAGGGGCTGAGGAACTGGCCACGCTGCTGTGCAAGCTGAAGCAAAGCAAATGACCTTCCTACTTGGAAGGGTTGTGGTTGTATCTGCTTCCCCAGGTTGGACACACCACTCCAGTCCCTGTTAAACCCCATCCTCTTTGTGTGTCCATTTCTCCAACTTGTGTGAGTCTTTTTGAAGGTTAATGCTTAGATATTCTATATTAAGCTGCGGGCATATTCTTTTTCTCTTTTCTTTCCAGTGGTTGCCTAATGGCTTTGCTACTCACTGTAACTCTTCCCATCTCTCAACATGAATAGAGAAAGCTGCTTGGCTCAGTTCCCTGCTTTGGGTTAGTTTGGAGGCACTTATTTGCAGTGCTCTCATATCTGTGCTCTATTTTCAGGGCTCATATGGAGCTCTGCTAAGGAAAGTCATTTCCCCCCTGCTTTTCATCAGAAAAGTGTAGATGACAAGTGCCTATATAACAGACCCTTCATCAGAGTCCTAAACATTTTTCCAGTGCTCCAGCCCTATTATGCTACTGCATTCTGTCACTCTCACTCTCTCTAAATGGTAATATATGTTATTAAGATGCTAGATTTTCTACTTGCAGTAATGTGGTTTCTAATAGGTTATGGAATAATTTTTGTAAATAATTATGATCAGTAATCTGGGTCCCACAGTCTTGTTTTCAGAGGCAGGAGAGGAGAAAATCCTTCAAAATAAAATAGGTAAACCTTTTATATCTTCAAGTGAGAATAAACATTGACAGTAACCACAGTTGCTTTTTTTCCTAAAACCAAGAAAAGGAAAAAAAAAAGAACGAAAAAAGAAAGAAAGAAAAACAAGTGAGAATAAGAGTGAACTAAAGATCTAGATTCTACAAATGTACTTGTCAGAGAGTGGTGAGTCCTATGGTAAAATAAATCCAACAGGTTTGGAAGCCTGGCTACACTCCTGAGAAGGGGTATATCAAGGAGACTTTGTTCAAGAAGCAAAACCAAACAAAAACAGAGGAAGAGACTTAAAACCACATTATTTCCTGGCGAAGAGTGTAAGCTGAATTGGGGGAAGGAATATGGACTCAAGACAACCCCTGGGGGAAAATTGGTGCTTCCTCCCAGCCCCCACACTGCTTACTTCTTCCCTTTATCTGCCAATGTAGATAATAAGCCAACAATAAAACAAGCAAAGAAACCGCTATCTAATGATCATTTCAGAGCCTTCTGTGCCTCTTTTTCTCACCCAAATCTCTAGAGAAGCGATGGTGTGGACATGAGTTTTATAATAGCTGATGAACTTGTTCTGGGAGGAGTGTATGTGTGCAAGTGTGTGTGTGTGTGTGTGTTGTGCTTGTGCACACATTCATGCATGCATATGTGTGTGTGCCTGTGTGCATGTGTGCCTGTGTGTGTGGCTGAAGAGAGGAGAGAGAGACACAGAGAGAGAAACTATGGGGGCACCTGTACTTGTCTGATTTGAAAGGATAATGTTTTGAGCCAAAGTGATTTAATCTCTACCTCATCTAGAAGCTGCTTTAGAACCACAGAAGCCTGGATCATCTCTACAAAGGGTGCAAGATGAAGGTGTTAGGACAACTTAAAGAGACGGGAGGTGCTAGGAATCGGCAGGTGCCTGATTGCCAAGGTGAGGCTTGAGAATCCTGCTCTCCCCTCAGTCTCTCCCAAGTATTGTTCTTCAGATGCTCCCTAAGGCCCTTCTTGTATGGAAATGTGTCTCAGATCTATCACCCGGTGTAAGACAGTTAGTGCCAGGGGGCAGGTCTAAGTGTGCCTACTCTGAAATGGACTTTGGGAATTAGATCATCCACAATCCCCTGGCATAGTTAGTGGGCAGTTATTAACATTCGCCAGTGATGAATTGAGGTGTCCTCAGGTGCTTGAGTTTAGGGTATGGAGAGGAATAGTAATGAAAAGTACAGTGACATCAGATAGCTCTTTCTGAGTGACACCAATACACTGGAGAAAGACAATGAAAGGCTGCGAGTGAATAACCACTAATTTAAGGCAAAGTGTGAGAGTTGGAGGACCTCCTTGGCAGCACATGAAGAGTTCCCCATCTCCTGAAGTCAGAGGCAAATAATAAGAATAAATAAATTGAGGATCATGCCTAGGACTCAATTATAAGGTTAGTGGAGCTCCAGAGAAGATGGGATCCTCAATCCCAGCAAATTCTCCACCCAAATCATGGCCCTGGTTGGGAAGAAGTGGGACTCTGAGCCTTGGGATGGGGATATCTGGGTTGATCACTCTTGCGTGAGCCCTGAAAAGCTGGGTTCTCCGCAGTCCTCGGGCCTGCAGAAGTGGCCCACTCCTCCCTGTTAGAGGCTAGCACCCCCACCCCCACTTCCATGAGAATGATGAGGAGGTCTTCACCTTGCAAGGCAACACATGCCCCTCTCCACCTCAGGATCTGCCCCAACATCCACTCCCTGTCAGATCAACCACTAGGACCAAGTCAGAGCATAACCTGGTTGGGGAAATGTTGGGCCTGGTGAGGGAAGAAGGGAACTATATGTTGAAGAATCTGTAGGAACTAGCAAACATACAACAGCAAAAGTTGGGAACGTATGTATGGGGCTGGGTCCTGAAAGTGCTAGATCAAGAGGGAAAGGATTATAAAGTCGGACAACGGAGTTTGTTGATATGGGAAGTCTCTCCCATGCTATAGAATTATACATCCTGGCAAGGACCTGGGAGATTATACTCTGGGAATACACTGTTAGGTTGGTACTCAGAAGTATAGCAAGAGTGATGAGCTACCAGGACTACTAGAACTTCTGTGGAAAATGATGGAGGAAGAGATCGAAAGGCTCAGATAAGTGGGCATGCTAGACTGGGAATACTATTCAATCCAGAAAATCTACCAGCTGACTATATTACATGAGAGGCCTCTGATCATGCTACAGAAAGTGAGAGAAATCCCATGAGGATCCTGATCCACATGTGTGTGTGCCTGAGTGCATTTGTGCATGTGTATCTGTGTGTGTAGCTGAAGAGAGGAGAGAGAGACACACAGAGAGAAACTATGGGGGCACCTGTACTTCTCTGATTTGTCAACGAATATATAGGGATCCAGTACTCTAAGGGATCCTAAAACATCCCCTCCAAAGCAATATGGAATCTATTGATAAAAGGGGCTTCTGATATGGTGGAGAAGCTCACTATTGGTTGTCCTCTGCAGGCAGGGACTGATGGTGGGAGATGTTGTTACAGAACTGGGCTTCCTGATAGCAATGAGGATGAAAAGATTCCAAAACAATAGATTTAACCAGCAGAATCAAGGTGGGTACAATTATTATAATGGGCATCTAGGATAGAGTTGGGAAGGGGTGCTCTGCAGAGAGCTATGGTAATGGTTAATAGAGCTTGGTATTTCTAGGAGCAAGATAGATTGCAGCTGACAAGGGTATTGCTCAATCTGTACCTCAAAAGAAATTAAGAATGAGTGATCAAGAGGCCAAGGGCGGCCATCCCATTAAAACATCATGATCCCTTATTAGTTTCTACATGTGCGCCAGTTTTCAGACCTGGAATCCATTAACTGAAGGATAACCTGGGTCCTTAGGAGGAAGGATCCTGTATCACCATAGCAACTGTATATGATGATGATTTGCCCAATATTTCTCCAAAGGAACCTATAGCCTTTTACTGAGGTAATCATCTGGTTGGGGAAGAGGGATACTCGGACATGTTCAGGATTGTTGGATGCAAGGTCTGTGTTCACATTAATACCTGAGGATCTGGAGCATCATCATGCTCCTCCTGTTAGAACAGGGTACATGAGCATCACGTGATTAATAAAGACCTGGACCTGGACTGATTCACAGTGGGTCCCCTGGGTCTTCCAACCTACCAAATGGTAATTTTCTTAGTCTCAGTGAATCATCGGAATGGATATACTTGGTCTTTGGCAGAACCCCACATTGATTTCTTGGTTTGTGAGTTTGTGGAGTGATAACTACTGTAGTAGTGAAGGTTAAGTAGGAAAACTCTGGCCGGACACAGTGGCCCACGGCTGCTGTCCCAACACTTTGGGAGGCCAAGTGGGTGGATTGCTTGAGTTCAGGAGTTAGAGACCAGCCTGGGCAATGTGGTGAAACCCCATCTTTACCAAAAAAAAGCTCCCCCAAAATTAGCTGGGCATGGTGGCATGCATCCATAGTCTCAGCTACTCAGGAGGCTGAGGTGGGAGGATCACTTGAGCCCAGGAGGTCAAGGCTGCAGTAAGCCATGATCATGCCACTGCACTCCAGTCTGGGTGACAGAGTGAGACCTTGTCTCAAAAAACAAACAAACAAACAAAACTCTGAAACTGCCCCTCTACCCTGGCCAAAAGAGTAAATGAAAATGAAATCAATATTGCATCCTAGGGAGAATGGTAGAGATTAGTGCCACCCACAAAGACTTAAAGTGCCTAGGAGTAGTGGTTCTAATCATAGTACCCATTTAATTCACCAGTCTGGGCCCCACAAAGACCAGAAAGATTCTGGAGGATGTGAACTATGCAGACTCAAACTCAACCGAGTAATAGTTCCAAGTTCCAATTTCTGATGTCATTACAGACACAGTTTTGTTGTTGTAGTTGTTTTTGCTAGAACGTAGTAACACATCCTCAGGTACATGGTGTGTGGCCTTGGTTTGACAAATGTGTTCTTTGCTATTCCTGTCAGAACAGAGTGCCAGAAGCAGGTTACATTCACATGGAGTGGATGACAGTATACATTTACCATCTCTCCCCAAACATATATCAACTCTTCTCCTTGCAATAATTTAGTCCAAAGGGAACTTGGACTGTCTGGACACTTGAAGAACATTACATTGGTCCACTAATTTGATGACGTCAAGTTAATAGGTTCACATTAACAAGATGTGGCAAGTAATTAGAGACCTGCTAACATATGTGCTTCAGAGGGTGTGAGAAAACCCCACAAACACTGAGGTGTCTATCATATCTATGAACATTTAGTAAAGAACAGTTGACTGCATTTCATATTTCCCCTCACTAAGAGGACAGCATATCACCTGGTAAGCCTCTTTGGGTTCTGAAGGTAGCATTTTCCTCCTTGGAAATATGACTTTGATACATTTTCCAAGTGACATAGAAGGCTGTCAGCTTTGAGTGGGGCCCAGAGCAAGAAAGGGCTCTGCGTCAGGTCTAGGTTGTGATGCAGGCAGCCCTGCTGCTTGAACCGTATGATCAGCAGACCTTCTGTTATTAGAAGTATCTGAGTGGGAAAATATGCCATGTGGAGTTTATGGCAAGCCCAATAGGAGATGCACAATGTAGACCCCTAGGGTTCTGGAGCAAGGCCATGCCATCTGCAGCAGAGAATTATATACCGTTTGAAAGAATAGCTCCTGGCGTGCCAATGGGCCTTGGTTGAAATGAACGTGGGACATCAGGTGACCATGTGGCCAGACTGCCTGTGATGATGTGGGTTCTATTCAACCCATCAAGTCATAAGGTCAGGTGGGCCTAGGAGCAATCCGTCATAAGATAGAAGTAGCACATCCAGAATCGAGCATCAGCAGGGCAGGTGGACACAGGGGAGCTGGATAAGCAGGTGGCCCAGACCCTCCTGTCACCCACCCCTGCCACATAGCCCCTCTCATGCCATTCATATTTATGATGACCACCTGCATGACTGTGAGGGCTGCAGAGCCTCTTATTGATCAACTGATGGAGGAAGAAAAAGGCCAAGCTTAGTGTATGGAAGAGTCAGATTTGCTTGCGGGTGCAAGCCAAAAGTGAACAGTGACTGCATGCCGTCCCTCCTTTGAGTGTCCTTGAAAGACAGAGGGAGGGGAAAATCCTCTTCCCAATAGGAGGAGCTTTGGACTGTGTTATCATTCACTTTTGAGGAAAAAAAGTGACCTATAGAGAGATCCATGGGTGATGGAAAAGGCTAGGCCAGGGACCTGGGAGGAGCAAGAATGGGAATATCAGGGACAAGGACTCTGGGGAAGAGGCATGTGGATAGAACACTGGGCAGAGGCCTTGCATCCCCTTTTAATGCCTACCAGAGGGCATCTACTACAGGAGAAGCACCGAACAACCAAATAGAACACAAAACTAGTGGCCCATGTATTGTACCTATGGGGACACAGTACCACATAATGGTCCCTGACTTAGGGTCCTAGAGGATGGTGTCCCAAGAATGCAGGGTTTCATCTTCAAGCCGGTAGCTAATCTGCTCCTTTAAAAGCCCATCTCATCTCTCCATCAGGCCAGCAGCTTCTAGGAGATATAATAAGTGACAGGATGAGCAGAGCCCACGGTCAAATGCTCCCTGCTGCAACTTCTTCGCTATAAAGCGACTCACTCGCCCATGTCAGCTAGCCTCTCTCATGGCCGCCTACGTGCTGGTACAGCTGGTGCATAAACATGGTGGCTGCTACCTCAGGGATGGAGGGTCCGTGTGGGCTCAGCAGCATGGGCTGTCTCTCACTAAGGCTGACTTAGTCATTACTGCTTCTGAATGTCCAAACTGCAAGTCACTGAGACAAATGCGCAGCCCAAGATGGAGCATCATCCCGCAGAGGGACCAAACGGCCACTTAGCAGGGAGTTGATTCCTTGCATCCTTTCCACTCCAGAAGAGGAAATGATTTATCTTGATGAGAATTGATACATAGACCAGGTATGAGTTTAGTTTTCCTGCCTACAGGGCCTAAGCTACTATGTGAAGGCCCACAGAGTATTTGCTCCACTGACATGGGAGCCCACATCACATGCATGGGACCAAGCAATCAACTTTACAGCAAAGGAGGTGCAGCAGGAGCATTGGACCATGGGCTCTGCTCCTCCTATCCCATATTCTATCTCCCAGAAGCTGCTGGCCTGGTGAAGAGATGAAACAGGCTTGTAAAGGATCGGTTCAGGCACTGGCTTGAAGATGATACTCTGCATATCCTCCAGGACCGTAAGTCAGTGACCATTATATGGTACTGTGTCCCTGGTAGGTAGAATACACACATCTGGGAACCAAAACACAGAGGGAGGCACAGTCCTGCTCACCATCCCTCCCAGCGACCCGCTTAGGGAATCTGTGCCTCGCATCTCTTCTGCTCTGGGTTCTGTGGGGTCAGAGGGTTTGCTCTGAGAAGGGAATGCTTCAACCAGGGGGCAGAGCAAGAGTCCCATTAAACTTTAAGCTGCCAGGGGCCAGGCATGGTGACTCATGCCTGTAATCCCAGCACTTTGGGAGGCCGAGGCAGGTGGATCACTTGAGGTCAGGAGTTTGAGAACAGCTCGGCCAACATGATGAAACCCTGTCTCTACTAAAAATATAAAAATTAGCCAGGTGTGGTGGCGCACGCCTGTAATCCCAGGTACTCGAGAGGCTTAGGATTGCTTGAACCTGGGAGGTGGAGATTCCAGTGAGCTGTGATCACGCCACTGCACTCCAGCCTGCGGGCAGCAGAGTGAGACACCACCTCAAAACACACACACACACACACACACACACACACACACACACACACACACACACACACAAATTTAAGCTGCCAGGCATGGTGGTGCATACCTATAGTCCCAGCTACTCTGGAGGCTGAGGAGGGAGGATCCCTTGAGCCCAGGAGTTTGAGGCTGCAGTGAACCATGATTGCACCGCTGCACTCCAGCCTGGGAGACAGAGCAAGACCTCCAATCTCTAAAAAAAAAAAAAAAAAAAAAAAAAAAAAAAAAACAAAAAAAAAACTTTAAGCTATAGCTGCCACTGGGTCTTCCAGCACCCTTGTGCCTAGAAACTATCAGGCAAGGAAAAGAGTTTCCCTCCTGGCGGGAATAATTGACTCTGATCATCAGGAGGAGGTAGGGCTGCTATTTATACAATGGGGCAGGAAACGATATGCCTGCTATGCATATTGTTTTGGTGTCTATTGGTGCCCCTTGGCAAACTGTGATGATAAACAGACAAGTGCAGTATGTACAGCCTGAAAGCACAGGTGACCAGGGTCCTAGGGATGAGGCTCAGCTCCACCCCACTCTGTAAGCCACCTGCATCAGCAGAGGTGCTAGCTGGAGGTGAGGGGAATATGGAATGGGTAGAGGTGGAGTGAGGGGATGGGTAGCAGTTATAGAGTCAAGACCAGCTATAGCTACAGGGACTATAGTTCCTCCCACTAACCTTCCTTTTGAAGTTTCTCCAGGACAAGAGAAAAAGAGAATCCTGAAGGCATGGTTCCCAGACGGGGTGAAATAGTTAATACAGAGTAAGTAGATTCAAGCATATGAGAGTGGATGTGGCAACTTACAGTCCAGATCCCTGCTCAGGACCCAGGCACCATTTCCCCAGCCTTTGGGAGGGTTTGCAGTCAGCTCATAGATGTCCCCCAGCCAAAGGGAACTCCCCACCCAAGCCTGCACCCCTCCCCAGTGGCATGTCCAATGCCTGATGGATGCAGGGGTGAAAAGACTCAGCCCCAATGTCTCAATTCCATCCAACACTGAAGGGACATCCCAGCTCCGGAGCACCCCGTGTGGTTGGCTGAGGCCCCTGCTGCAGGTGCACCAGAAGTCAACATCTCTTTCCACCCACTCTTGTGCCCTAACTCCGTCACAGGTGTGACTCACCAACACGCCTCACTTAAGTGTGCTGCGGGCTCATCTCTGAATCCACAGAGTCTGGTTTCAGGGAACTTTAACCTAAGACAGCCTGAGACTAGATGGATCTACAGTGGATAACCAACCGAAACAGAACAACAATTCCTGGTTCCATCAGAACATCGATGGCATACTTTTCAGGGTTGTTTCAGGCTAAATTGGAACATTGCGCTCGATGCTGAAGAATGATATTTGTTGTTTATCGTTTTACAGAATTCTTCTAACTCAGGCCCAAACATCTCCACACTGTCCCCATCCTCAAGCCCTGCTGTCCACCCCACCCCTATTTGTACAGGAGCCATTTAATAGAGCAAACAGTATTCGTTTGGCAGTTTATTTGTGCTGCACCAAAAAAAAAAACAGAGAAGCCAAAACTGAAAGAAAAAGGAAAAACAAAAAACCAGAAATGGAGAAGTGTTCCCTTTCCAGACAATCATGTAAGTATCCGTAATTAACTTATGTCTTTTTATAGAAGTTATGGATTTTTGTGTTTAAACACTGACCACAAAAAGTGACTAGTAAAATCTCTGAAAAGTTAAGGGAAGTGCTTAAATTCCAATTTTAGTAAACTTGTGTCCAATTCAATTTTCTGTGATTTTTAACAGAAATGGAATGTTGGGGAGAACTGGGAAAAAAGGGTAGTATTCTGGTTTGCATGGTAGACCCCATGTGAACAGGTGTTTAAAACTCACTGCTAGGTAAACTAGATTCAAATTCAGAACTTTTGTCGAGCAATGAATATTTCAAACTTTTACTTTTTTTTTTTTTTTTTTTTGCTGACAAAACCTTGTTTTTTCCCCCTTCCCTTTTTTTTTTTTTTTTTTTTTTTTTTTTTTCCAGCAGGAAGGCACAATCATTCTACAATGCTGCCAAATATAACAAACATCTACAGATGGGTTGGTCTGCAGCTGGAGGCTTTAACTTTGTAGTATTTATTTGAAATATCCAAGCCAGCAGAGCAGGGCTAAAGCACAGTGGGCACAATTCACAATGTTTTGGCTCTGGAGCAAATAGCAGTTGAACTTAGTTTTTTCAGCTAAAATGGAATTTATGCAGATGTGCTTTGCACTAAATTCATTAAACAATTACATCCTGGTGCAGTTTTCACATTTTTGTAAAGGATCTGCATAAGCACTAATTAGATCTAAAACAATGTTACTGGGCAAATTACAGTGCCGATTGTTCGCCTCGGCTTGCATTCCACATCTGCTTTGCAATGATGATGATAATTTAGGTGCAAGCAATACAAATGCCGGTTTTTGTTACATTTAATAGAAATATTTATTTAAAACATACTATAGATTAATTGATAATGTAACCATTTTTAAAGAGCCTCCAAATGTTTTCTCACGGACATTGAGTGGAAAAATGCAATCTGTGAAAATACAGTAGCTGAAACTTCTCACAATTGCTAACTGGCATTTCCTCAGTGAGGTTTGCTATTGAAAGGCAACTTTGCATTTCATTTGGCTTCAAGTACAAGCTGGGTTCGCTGAATTACAGCAGTGCCTTTGAGAGTGCAGCGGCATTTGACATAAAGGCGTAAAGACTTTCCTAAACAGCTCCCAGTCGTGGCAACCCACGCTACCTCTTCTTTGGTCAATCAGTTTCAAAGGCTGACTTAGTATTGGAAAATTATTTAATGGCTTAAGTATTTCAGATGTTAGAGTATGTTTTCTTTCTTCCATATTCATCTTCTTTCTACTTTGTATATCATTAAGTATAAGAAGGCATATTAACGTTTAAACATAAAATCAATTCTGCTGAAGCGAGGACATTCAGACAGGGTTTCTATGGCAACTTTGAATGTACCAACTTAATTCAGGGTTTGCTCCAACCCAGAGTCACCTCCATTATCACTCTCACCCTAGACATTCTTTAACTCGCCTGGCCAGCCATGTAGTCGGGAATCCTGAAGTGCGATCACTCTGCTCCTGCCCAGGCTAACGGCTACGACGACTAGCTAGCATTATCTCTCTCCCTGGGAAGGAGGCCAACCTGGTGAATCAGTTTGGCTTCTGGTTTCCTAAAAACCACTCCTGTTGTTTGACTTTTTGAATGGGTTACTTTTATTGTTTGATAGAGCCAGACATACAACAGCAAGCTTGGTGCCAGCACTGACAAAGATGAAAAGGCAAAATGAAACTCCGAGGGTAATTGTCATGAAAGTCCAAGTTTGGACATATCTCCTCTCTATGAGGGAACACTGTGCTAATTATTAATGCAAAGCACAGCCAGCATTCATGGTGCTCTCAAAATTTAGCATCCATGTTCATTCATTCAGTTTACTGGAGTGCTTCCCTAACCTTTACGCGGGACTTTCCATTTCATTCTGCGGTTTTTGCTAGGTAAGAGGGATTGGAACTAGAAGAGTGATAATTTCTTCTACAGCCTTAATTGGTAAGCCTGAAAATGCTGTGCTGGTGGAATATGAAATTATATCCTCTTTGAAGGAAAACATAATTTAGCACCGGGGCTTTGGGTTGTTTGAAGGTAAAATGTATTATGCCTGTGGAAAAGGCAAAGCAATATTTGTAATAAAAGACGTCATTTTTTAAAGACTCAGAAAAAAGAGAATAATTAGTATTTCCTAACTTGAACCCAAAATTCTTCTTGATTCACCCTGGGAAGATGGTTGGTTCTATATTTTATTTCCATTTTGTGTTTTACCGTAAGGGGGAAAGAATGAGGATTTAATTTTTACCAAATTAAAAGTAATGTGAGAGTTATTTCCCAAACTCCCAAAAGCTGCCTTTGGGCTGGGGAAAAATGGAGAAAACTCTAACCAAAACACTGAAATTTATTTATTTATTTATTTATTTATTTATTTATTTCTTACTTATTTGTTTACTTACTTATTCATTTATTTGAGACAAGGTCTCACTCTGTCGCCCAGGCTGGAGTACAGTGGTACAATCTTTATTCACTGCAGCCTCCAACTCCCAGGCTCAAGCAATCCTCCCTCTTCAGCCTTCTGAGTAGCCAGCACTAGAGATGCATGCCACCACACCTGGCTAATTTGTAACAATTTTTTAGAGACAGGGTCTTGCTATTTTGCGAAGGCTGGTCTCCAACTCCTGGGCTCAAGCAATTCTCCCACCTTGACCTCCCAAAGTGTTACTGGTGTGAGCCACTGGCCAAAGACACTGAAATTTTAGAAAGTTACGAACAGTGAAGGAGTTATTATGGTAACTTCTTCAGTCATAACAGCATTAATCATTCCCGTAGCTGAGAAAAAGTTTAGGTAACTTCTGAAGTGATAACTAAATGAAAGAACAGAGCTCTTGGCAAAACTGACTTAATGCAACTGTTGTACCTTTTGGCTAAAGGGAATCTCATTTGTGGTTTGATGGCACAGACGATACCATTTGCTCCTCCTAACTTTCTAAGTTGCTGGATAGTGACCATCTATGGCCCTATGGGGCCAGAGGCAACTCTGGGTTCTATTTTACCTCTCTCCTTCTTTCTTGGCCTTCTTCTTTCTCCCATTCCACAAGAGTTTCTGGTTCTTTCTCTGGGCCAAGGAATCTATTAGGCACTGTAGAACCAGAGACGAGTATGCCAGAGGACCTGCCTTTGTGGATTCACACTCTGGTAGGGAAGAGTCACGCATCCTTATCCAACAGGGCACAGACTTGTCATCCCTGATAGAGATCCTAGGCCATGTACTGGGAAAAACCCAGAGGTTGGGTGGCTATAGTCGTTAGGAAATAATCTTACTTCCTGGACTACTTTGTATTTGCTGGATTGAACTCCTGAATTTTATTAGTCAGAACATATTATCCAATATTATGTTACATATTATTGCATATCTGATATAATATTACATGTATAAACTGATCCACTAATGTCCATCAGGACAAATACAAATTGTTGTAATTGAGGATGCTGATAATGGAGGATGACGTTCCTCAGCCCTCAGAGTGTCTCTTCATAAGGCCTTGTAGAAATTGCCAGCATTAAAATTCCCTCTTAAATGAATCTTCTTTAAGGAGCTTATCCTTTTAACCAGTTTAACTTTATATTAACTGGATTAACTTTAAATCATCAGCACTTTCAGGCACTTCTGGTAGAAATTTGCCAGTCTAGATGTTGCTTCTGCGCTGGTCGAGTGGCTATGTCTCTCCTTGTAGTGGTGTCATCTGTGTGTCCCAGACAGCAAGAGCTCCTTGCTGTATAAGAGAGGAGAATCTCACATTTGGGCTTCTGTGTCAGAAAGGCTAACACTATAGAGAAAGGAGCATATGAGAGATTTTATTTTATGTATTTATTTATTTATGTTTGAGATGGAGTTTGCTCTGTTGCCCAGGCTGGAATGCAGTGGTACCATCTCAGCTCACTGCAACCTCCTTCTGCTGGGTTTAAGCAATTCTCCTGCCTCAGCCTCCAGAGTAGCTGGGATTACAGGCATGCACCACCACGCCCTCCTAATTTTTGTATTTTTAGTAGAGATGGGCTTTCACCATGCTGGCCAGGCTGGTCTTGAACTCCTGACCTCAAGTGATCCACCTGCCTTGGCCTCCCAAAGTGCCAAAAGAAAGGAGGAAATAACAGTGACGGCAGAGGGAGCCAGGAGCCCAAGCATAGCTAAGACAACGCTGGGTATCTGATGCCTGGTGGCCCTACAAGAGAAAGCTTAAAGGGTGGACATGAGCCTAAGAGACACTTACACTTAATTTTACCTGGAATTTGCCCTGCCCATTAGCTTCTTTAAAACAGTCAATAAAACACATGTATTAGGAGGAAGTTCAGAACTGGGCTGGGCTGTCCTTTCTGTACACATCCGATTCTGGTTGGTTTGACAACATTTTAAAGCACCTACTATGCAGCAAGCTAGTATGATTTAAGGATATCACAAGGCTCAAAAAGTTTGATCCCTTCTTGCCTTCAAACTCTGCTTAGTGGGAGCGGGAATCATATATGCCATTCTGCACAGCACAAAGCATAGCACATTATCTGGTACATGGTAGGTGTTTTCTGCATATTGGAGATAGACACCTAGCAGATCATTTCAATATAAAACAGTAGGTAAGGGAAGCAATGAACGTCTGTAGAAGAGTCCCCAACCCAATCTCTTTGAGTCCTAAAGGATTTGTATATGTTAACTGCGCCAAGAAAACTGGAGAGGGCTTTCAGACGGAGGGAATGGCATAAACAGAGTCATGGAGATATGAAAAGACATGGTGTTTGGAAAAACTACAAGTAGTGTGGTGTTATTAAAACCTAGAGGTTGATGCGGATCACTGGGAGATAAAACTTGAGAAGCAGATACAAATCAGACTTGTCCTGTGGGCCATACTGAGGACCTTGGGTTTTACTCTGTAGGCAATGAGAAAGCATTTGAAGTGTTTTAAGCACCAATCACTCTCATGTATGATATTATCTCACTGCCTTGTAATAATAATTGCTCATATGTATTGAATGTTGTTTGCTAGGTGCACATCTCAATGCTTTACAGGCCTTTTCTCATTTTACAGATGAAAACCTTGACACCGAGAGATTAAGTAATTTGCCCAAGGTCACAGTTTTAAGTGCAGAGCTTGGACTTGAACCCAGGTCTGTCACTGCAGCAAGAGGCAAGGAGAGTGTGCAGGATTTCACAGAGAAGTATAATAATACCATGGTTTTTGACATTGTTAGTCATCACAGGGGATGTAAATCAAAACCACAAGGTACCTGTTTATACCCACCAGGATGGCTAGAATAAAAAAGTCAGATAACAAGTTTTGGAAGGATATGGGAAAGTCAGAACCCTCATATATTTCTGGTGCAAATGTACAATGTTTCAGTTGCTCTGGAAAACAGTCCGGCAGTTCCTCAACTGATTAAACATGGAGTTACCATAGAATTCAGTAATTCCGCTCCTAGGTATATGCTATAGACTGAATGTTTATATGTTAAAACTCATATGTTAAATCCTAATGCCCAATATTTGAAGGTGAGGCTTTGGGAGGTGACTAGGTCATGGGGGCAGATCCCTCATGAAGGGAATTAGTGTCCTTATAAAAGAGGCCCCATGGAACTCCCTTTTCTTTCTGCCATGTGAGTTTATATCAAGAATATGGCCGTCTATGAACCAGAAAGTTGGTCCTTACCAGACTTGGAATCTGCCTGCTATGCTTTGGTTCTGTGTCCCCAGCCACATCTCATCTCAACTTGTAACCCCCACGTGTGGAGGGAGGGACCTGGTGGGAGGCGACTGGATCATGGGGATGGCTCCCCCATGCCATGCTCATGATAGTGGGTGAGTTCTCATGAGATCTGATGGTTTGAAAGTGCAGCACTTGCGCTTTGTGCTGTGAGTCAATTAAACCTCTTTTGTTTATAAATGACCCAGTCTCAGGTAGTATCTTTATAGCAGTGTGAAAATGGACTAATACATTGCCAGTACCTTGATCTTGGACTTCCCAGCCCCTAGCACTGTGAGAAATAAATTTCTGTTGTTTATATGCTGTCCAGTTGATGGTATTTTGTTATAGAAGCCCAAAGAAACTAAGACAGTATATAGCCAAGAGAAATAAAAACCCACGTCCACACGAACATTTAAACATGAGTGTTCAGAGCAGCATTGTTCATGTAGCCAAATGGTGGAAGCAACCCAAATATCCATTAATGGGTGAATAGATAAACAAAATGTGCTATATCCATACAGTGGAATTTCATTTGGCCATAAAAGAGCATAAAGTATTGTTATTGATATATGCTACAACATGGATGAACCTTAAAAACATTATGCCAAGGGCAATAATCACAAAAAAAATATATACTATGTGATCCAATTCATATGCAAGTCGAGAATAGGAAAATCAACAGAGGCAGAGAGTACATTAGTAGTTGCTTAGGCGCAGGGGGAATCAGGCGAATGAGAGGCAATGGCCAAAGGGTACAAAGTTTCTTTTTGAGGTGATGAAAATGTTCTAAAATTGGCTATAATGGCGTTTGCACGTATCTGTGAACATACTAAAAACCACTGAATTGTACACTTTAAATGGGTGAACTTTATGATAGGTGAATTATAGCTTAATAAAGCAGGTTTTAAAAAGAAGCTTTCAAGTTCTCTGAAAGGAGTCGTATTCAAAAGGTCCCATGGTACAACACATTTTTAATGACCCTCAAATTGATCATCTTGAGTGGGAGGGTGGTGTTTTCTTATGAAGCTCCATCGAAAGGGTCATGTGTAGGAATCAGAATATTTGGGTTTTTAAATAGTGAGTTTACAATAATTCATTATTTTTTTAATTTTTATTTTTTTAGAGACAGGGTCTCACTCTGTCTCCCAGGCTGGAGTGCAATAGTGTGATCATAGTTCACTGCCAGCTTGAGCTCTCAGGCTCAAATGATCCTCCTTCCTCAGCCTCCTGAATAGCTAAAACTACAGGTGTGCACCACCATGCCTGTGTAATTTTTTTTCACTTTTTTTGTAGTGACATTGCCCCATCTCACTACGTAGGCTGGTCTTGAACTGGCCTCAAGTGATCCCCCCACCTTGGCCTCCCAAGTGCTGGGATTACCTGTGTGAGCCTCCATTCCCTGCTGGAGTCAGAATATTTGGATTGAAATCCCAGCTTTACAAGTTTCATAACATTGGACAACTTACTTAACTTCTCTCTAAGCAGCCTTTTCCTCATCTGTCACATGAAAACAATACTGGTGAGCATCTACTTTGTAGGGTTGTTGCAAGGACTGAATGAGAATGGTTGCATAGCACCCAGTTAATGCCTGGTTCCAGTAGGTGCTCAGTATACACTGCTCATTACTATTAGTAATAACCATGTTAGTGTTCATTATAATAGTAATGGAATAAATGACTCTGTAAAATAATCTCTTCAGATTCCAACAAAACAAATAATGAGATTAATAAAAACAAAATCAACTCTAATGGTTTATTTGATTTTGTCATGGAGACGGATTTCGTCCTAGAGCCCTCCTCACATCCATTAGGAGGACTGCTATTTTTAAAACAACAGAAAATAAAAGTGTTGGTGAGGATGTTGGGTATTGAAACTCTAGTGCACCATTGGTGGGAATGTAAAGTGGTGTAGCCACTGTAGAAAACAGTATGGTGGTGTCTCAAAAAATTAAAAACAGAATTATCATATGATTCAGCAATTCTACTTCTGCATATATACCTAAGAGAACTGAAAGCAGAGTCTTGAACAGATATTTGTACACCCATGTTTATAGCAATACTCTTCACAATAGTCAAGAGTTGGAAGCAACCCAAGTGTTCATCTGTGGATCTTTGGGTCAACTAAAATGTGCTATATCCACACAATGGAATACTATTCTGCCTTCAAAAGGAAGGGAGTTCTGACACATGCTACAACACAGATGAACCTTGGGGACATTATGCCAAGTGAAAAACAAGCAGGTCACAAGAGGACAAATACAGCATGACTTCATTTCTATGAGGTGTCTACAGCAGTCAAATTTACAGAGTTAGAAAAGAGAATGGTGGTTGCCAGAGACTGACCAGAGGAAGAACAAGGAGTTGTTGTTTTGTAGAACAGAGTTGCAGTTTTGCAAGAGTTCTAGAGATTGTTTGCACAGTAATGTCAATGTACTTAACACTTAATGAACTGTACACTTAAAAATCGTTAAGATTTTGGCTGGGCATGGTGGCTCACACCTGTAATCCCAGCACTTTGGGAGGCTGAGGCGGGTAGATCACAAGGTCAGGAGATCGAGACCATCCTGGCTAACACGATGAAACTCTGTCTCTACTAAAAATACAAAAAAATTAGCCGGGTGTGGTGGCAGGCGCCTGTAGTCCCAGCTACTCAGGAGGCTGAGGCAGGAGAATGGTGCGAACCCAGGAGGCGGAGCTTGCAGTGAGCTGAGATTGCGCCACTGCACTCCAGCCTGGGAGACAGAGCGAAACTAGGTCTCAAAAAAAAAAATAATAATTAAGATTTTGTTATGTGTATTTTACCACATTTTTTTTTTAAAGCCATGGTTGCCTGCATTATTAGCTCTGTGTCTGAGAGGTGATACAGGGTCATGATGAAGAGCTGCTTTGGACTTCCACAGACCTGGATCTGAACTCTGTTCCACTGCAGTCTAGCTAAGTAACCCTGGTCAACTTCCTCCAGACTCCACTTTTCTAAGATGGAAACTCTATCAGGTTAGGAAAGACTGCTTTATCCAACAGTGAAATGATAACTAAAGAAGACTATGCCTGTGCTACCTGTTTAATTTTTTTTCTAAAGTTTTGTTAAGTGGCTGTCTTAACTGTTACTAATTTTTATCAAAACAGGGCTTCCTTATAGTGTTTCAGGGGCACTATCTTTACAATTAAAAATCTGCTTTTGGGCCGGGTGCAGTGGCTCACGCCTGTAATCCCAGCATTTTGGGAGGCCAAGGCGGGCAGATCACCTGAGGTCAGGAGTTCAAGACCAGCCTTACCAACATGGAGAAACCCCATCTCTACTAAAAATACAAAATTAGCCGGGCGTGGTGGTGCATGCCTGTAATCCCAGCTACTTGGGAGGCTGAGGCAGGAGAATCGCTTGAACCCAGGAGGCAGAGCTTGCAGTGAGCTGAGATCGTGCCATTGCACTCCAGCCTGGGCAACAAGAGTGAAATTCCATCTTAAAACAAAACAAACAAACAAACAAATCTGCTTTTGAGGGAAATGAAGGGAGGGGGACATTTCACAGATGCTAGGCATGCATAACCACAATGACCATACGTCTATGGTTGCCAGGTAAAACACAGGACACCTCATTAAATTTGAATTTAACATAAACAATGAACATTTTTATAACAATTTTTTAGTTTAAGTCATGTCCTAACTATTGCATCATGTCCCATGCAGTATGTGGAATATACTTATATGAAAATTTTAACTGGGTGTTACGTTTTGGATATTTGTCTCTGCCAAACCTCATGTTGAAATTTGATCCCCAATGTTGGGGGTGGGGCTAATGGGAGGTGTTTGGGTCATGGGGTGATCCTCATGAATAGATGAATGCCCTGGGTGATGGAGAGTGGTGAGTGAGTGAGTTCTCACTCTTAGTTCCCATGAGAGTGGGTTGTTAAAAAGAGCCTAGCACCAGCTGGATGTGGTGGCTCACGCCTGTAATCCCAGCATTTTGGGAGGCCAAGGCAGGCAGATCACCTGAGGTCAAGAGTTTGAGACAAAATTAGCCGGGCGTGGTGGTGCATGCCTGTAATCCAGTTACTTTGGAGGCTGAGGCAGGAGAATCGCTTGAACCCAGGAGGCGGAGGTTGCAGAGAGCCAAGATCGCACCACTTCACTCCAGCCTGGGTGATGGAGGTCTCAAAAAAAAAAAAAAAAAAAGCCTAGGACCTCCCACTCTCTCTTGCTTCCTCTCTTGCCATACAATCCCTGCACACACTGACTCCTCTTCACCTTCCATCATGAAGCAGCCTAATGCCCTCACCAGATGCAGATTCCCAGTCTTGAACTTTCCAGCCGTCAGAATCATGAGCCAAATCTACCTTTTTTTCTGTATAACGTACTCAGTCTCAGGTATGCCTTTATAGCAACACAAAAGCGACTAAGACACTGAGTGTCCTGTATTTTGTCTGCTAAATCTAACAACCCTACATATAACATTATTGTTTTTATAGCTCAAATAAGTGGCAAAAGTTAGCTCTAAGGAAGAGGAATATCTAGGTTTTTTTTTTTAGTAGTACAGCAATTCTTCATTCTTGTCCCAATGTTTGTGTTTGGCTATTATCAAAGAAACATGATAGGCATATGGCTTGATGATTAAAATGGTAACTGATAACGGGTCTGATATATTGATCTTTTATTTCGTCTCCTAGATATAATGGCTTTGAAACAAAAATATACATGGGCTAACTGCCTTATTTTCTTTTCTGCCTCTTATTTTATTAAAGCATATGTGAAATATCCTTTACTTTGTGCTGGGTCCCCCTCCCCCGATTTTCCTCAAAAGCAGATTTTTAACTATGAAGATGGTGCCCCTGAAACACTATAAGGAAGCCCTGTTTTGATAAAATTAATAACAGTGAAGACAGCCATCTAACAAAACTTTAATTAGGGAATTCTCCTTCCATCTTGGAGTGCCTACAGTGTTGAATGTGATTTAAATACTGCGGGCCCCACTTGCATTCACCAGACAGGCTCCTGCTGGGGACAGTGCTGTGTCATTAAAATGGAGTCCACTGAGAGAGACAATAGTCACACTGTACAGAAGCATGAAAGCCATGGCAAGTATTTTTCAGCCTTATCTCAAGACAGTCATGTAATATGTGCTTACAGATTTGATTGATCTGCTCCATGGGACCTCTCTGCTTCTCCATGAGAGTTTGTGTTTGATTTCTCAGGACAGTGGAGTGTGGTGGTGACAACCTGAGAACCAGGACCCAGGAGGCACAGGGGTCCTCAGGTTCTGTTGCCTGTAGGCCTGGGACTTGAACTTGTCACCAACCCTCATGGAGTGTCAGCTGCCATGGCTGAACAATTGGGAATAATGAATGCACTTGAGGGCAGATGAGAAGGTGCCCTCAAAAGAGCTCTGGGAATAGCACCAAGCTGAAGCATGTGTGCAAAGGGCTCTTCTGTTTTCTGGGGCTCCAGCCTCCCTCAAGGTTGATGGGCCTTCTCCACTCCGCCCCATCCTGCCTGCCCCGCCGGCCCCTCTCCTTGCCTGCTGTGGCACCACTGAGCCACCACTGGAAAATGACCTGACTGTGGTCTTCTTTGACAAACTCAGTAACAAAGATGCCCGCCCAACAGTGGACCTCATGGTCGCTTAAAGAGTTGAGAAGCCACCTCCCCACATCTTCAAGGGGCACAACAGACCTGGGCGTTTTAGTGTAATATTTAATTTATTAGAATGACAAATGTAAAAGCCCAGTTTCCTAGAGCCTTTTTTTTGTTTTTGTTTTGTTTTGTTTTGTTTTTTTGTAGAGACAGAGTTTCGCTATGTTAGCCAGGCTGGTCTCCAACTCCTGGCCTCAGGCAAATTCTCTGTTACCCAGGCTGGAGTGCAGTGGCGCAATCATAGCTTACTGTAACTTCAAACTCCTGGCCTCAAGGGATCCTCCCCCATCAGCCTCTTCCAAAACACTGGGATTGCAGGCATGAGCCACCTCACCCAGCCCTTTGAGTAGTTTTTGACTGGCTTGAGTTGAAAGGACTAAATTCCCCTTAAACTATTAGTGCCATTTATGTTAATTATTAGTTTCCTTTAAGCATTTTAAACTGCAGTGATAAACTTAATACACTTAATTAGCTTTCTAAGCAACTCAAATATCTGATCTGGCTTAAGTTAATAACCCTAACAAACAAAACCTTCCAACGATTTTAAAGTTTTATAAATCTGGTTAAATTGGGAGTTATGAATATTGTGACTCTCAAGTTCTATCAAGTATTCTAATAGTGTTTAAAAGTTAGTAAACTTATAACATTCAGTTTACCACTTAAAAGTCTCAAAATCACACTTATAAAATTGTAGTCGGCAGGTTGTGGAGCACGAAAGAGGTGCAGGGCCAAGGTGACCTGGGTTGTGGGTTGACAGAGACTATGTCTTATGTCTTACAAAGAGCTGGATTGTGTACATAGGACAGTGGGAGGGTGGTGGGGGCGGAGAGAGAGAGGCGGCAGGTAATTCTGTTTTACATGCAAATATCGAGAAGTGTCTAGTAGGCAGCTGGAGATATGGGACTGAAGGTTGAGGTAAAGATTTCATTGTCAGAGAGAGTATAGGGAGAGGAAAGAGCAAAGGTCCAACTGAGCCTAGGACATTGGGAGCCCCACACAGGCTCATGATGGACCCAGAGAGTAAATCAGGGGAACAACACAGCCAGTCCACAGCTCTGGGCCCTGTGCTTTCACCCTTTTGGAGCGGAAAGGCAACCCCGGAGGAGCTGTGGCTGACCTTGCACTTGCCATGATCGTACCGTGTTAGCTGTGATGTCTTTAACTTTGGGGCTCAAGTTTCCCCCTCTGTGGGATTGAGATGATAATAATGGTTTCTACTGTAAGAGAAGAAAAGAAATTGCTATTCAAAGTCCAACTCACTTCTAAGGAAAATGGCTCTGTAAAAACAGAAATTGACTAAGCACAAATAGGCCCGGGATATAGGAGCGGATGCCAGGGAGGGGCTTGTAAAATCAAGAGGAATTTGAACTTTCCTGGGACTATTTGTGGGCATGGTGAGGAAGGGCTCAAGAAGGGAGGCTGGGGTGGAGAGAAGACCAGGCTGGCCACTGAGGCAGCCATGAGCCACGTTTGGCTACTGAGCTCTTGAAATGAGCTCAGTCAGTGTAAAATATACACAGTGTTGAAAGACATTATGAAAAAAGAATGTTAAAACCATCATTCATACTTTTAAATTTTGATTACATGTTGAAATTCAAATTCCCAATATTGGATAAAATAAGGAAGGTTAAAATCAATAAATTAATTTTTAATACCACTACCAGGAAATATTAAATTGCATACGTAGATTGTTTTTCTGTTGGATGGTCTGGGTTACAGTTATTAATAAAAGGAAGAGTCAAATGTGCCCTATAATAGAGTGGGTGATTTTATTTTTAAAGCACTGTGATGTCTAATATTCAATTTGAACTTGTTTTGAGCCATAGCCATGTAAACATCCTCTTTGCCTCCCTCCAGATCTTTGCATAAGTCTATTCCATACTTAATTTGCTCTTTGTGAGTGCATTTTCTGGGAGCAGAAATTAAGTTTCACCTCTGGGTCTCTGGTACAGTCCAGTGACAACACTTGTAGGACGAGGTGATCATGAGAAAGACAGATTTTCTATACCAGGAATTCATAGGTTCCTTGGTGGGGGGTTTAACTTCTGCAGGATGAAGATTTGGAGCTCTGAGCCAAAATCATCTAAGTGTCAAGAGGTAGCAGTGCTCCTGCAGCCATCTGGGTGGCATCGTTTTGTAGGAGTTGTTAAGTTTATAGGTGAGAAGTTTAGAAGGCACCTGGTCTAATCCATAAGAAAGATCAGCGACGACAGGATCCAAGCCCCCATGATGAGTGGGAGGAATTGTCTGCCCATCACTTTAACTATCTATTATTGGCTGACTTCTGGGATACTCTGAGTAAGCAAGGTGGATGAGATTGGGGAAGGACTTAGTGACCAAATGCAAACATAAATGCGATGTGGGAGGCAGCAGAGCCTTTCTGTTAGAGCAGTTTGTGGTCTGTACACCTCCTGTGTAGAGCTGATGTTTTCACACTCATCCCCGACACCCTCCTGCTATTTAGGGCTAACGCTCGACCCATGGATTATTGAGGGAGGGAAAATATTGCTGCTGCTGAGACCCTAGGGTTTGATCACCCATGCCTTCTGTATCTCAGTTCCCATCCAGACACCTGTTACACATTTTTACAGCAAGCCTCACACTCACACAGCAGTAGTTTCAGGAGAAAAGACTTCCTGGAACTATTCAAATATTTTGTCAAAGTCTCTCTCTCTCTCTCTCTCATTGGAGGCTCCATTCTTTTTTCTACCTTCTGGCTTTGAGGCAAGAGAAGAAGATTCCATGAAGCTCACATTCCAACATTGGAGACAGCATGGAGCTGTCAGTGACCTCCCCACTTCCAAGCAGAAATCGTCACATGTAAGAAGGTACGGGTCCATAATCCCTCATCTGAAATGCTTGGGGCCAGAAGGGATTCGGAATTCAGGAGTTTGCAGATTTTAGAAAGGTAACATGGTGCATAAATCCTATAACATGACATCCTAGGAAGACTTGGGGCAGCACTCATAAGCAAACTCATCGATGTTTCTGCAGTGAAACATACGAAGATTCACTCAGTGAAATAAATAAAGACTCCAAATAGCCTCATCTCAGTTCAGGACAAGCTTTGATGCCATATGAGTTTGTTCTTCACTTACGAAAACAAACAAACAAACAAATCTCTTTGATTGTCAGAGCTCTTGGATTCCCTAATACAGAGGTGCAAATGTGGGTGTGCTACCAATGCCACGGCTCTGTTGGTGCTCAGCTGAGCTGGGCATGCCAATATGAGCTTTACTCCCACTAGCAGTGCTCTAGTGGATCCTGCTGGCCCTAGAAAATCTTCATTCTAACTTTGGCATATCTGAGTCATTTGCTGTCATGTAGTTAGCCAAAGGCTCTGAGAGTCTTCTGAATTTGAGTTCCCTAAACAGCCTGTACCCATCGCTCTTATGGAGGTCGGCCTAGGAATGTTTTCTTTTCTGCCTTCTACCTTGGAGTATTATGGAGAATAAAGTATTTGTATTCTTGGTGTTTGGCTTCCCAGGTAGTTCATGAATTTTTTTACTTTTTTTAAGAGGAAAATGTTGCCCAGGCTGGAGAGCAGTGGTTACTGATAGGCACAATTATAGCACACCGCAGGCTTGAACTCCTGGGTTCAAGAGATTCGGAGCAGCAGGGACTACAGGTGTGCATCACTGCATCTGGCAATTCATTTCTATTTAACAAACACTTTAATTGCATGCAGTATGTCAGGTACTTCTTTAAGACAGGGACAGTTATGATCTTCATTTTACAGGTTAGATGATGCCCAGGAGGGTTGAGGAACTTGCTCAAGGTCACATAGGTATTTAAGTGGTGGAGGAGGAATTAAAATCCACGAATCTACCTCCAGAGTCTGTGCTCTTAATCATTATATCATACTCCCCTATGAAACACTGGGTTTACAGAAGGTTAAAAAAATGGTACACATGGCCGGGCACGGTGGCTCACACCTGTAATCCCAGCACTTTGGGAGGCTAAGGCAGGCAGACCACTTGAACCCAGGAGTTCGAGACCAGCCTGGCCAACATGGTGAAACCCCACCTCTACTAAAAATACAAAAATTAGCCAGGCATGGTGGTACACTCCTGTAATCCAGTTACTCGGGAGGCTGAGGCACAAGAATCACTGGAACCCGGGAGGTGGAGGTTGCAGTGAGCCCAGATCATGCCACTGCACTCCAGCCTGGGAAACAGAGTGAGACTCTCTCTCAAAGAAAAAAAAAAAAAAAGGAAAAAAAAGGTACACATAAGAGAAAGTTTCTTTAATTTTTTTGAACCAGAAATAAATATGATTTACTCCTTCCAGAGAGTTAAACTGTACCTTGAAAGCATTAACTTTCCATCTGTGGCCACTTCTACCTCAAAATAAGATTCAATATAGATTCTCTATTTTTAAAGAATTGAAAACTAAATAAAAACTTGTTGCCCCAACAATTATATATTGTAATAGAATAATTTGAACTTGAGTCATATTTATAAGGATAAACTGAATTTCTAGAACTTGGGAATCATTTACATTATAAAGAACTTCCTTACTCTCTTCTGTGCATGAATAGGCTTAAAATACAGCAATGACTATTATTGTTCACAATGCTATAGCTGTTACTTGGAACATACGAAGTGCTCTAACATCACAAATTAATTGTTAATGAGAATATTGCTATTGAAGAGTTGTATTGTTCAGAGGGAATATGATTGTTCCATAGAAAAGATGGTGTCTCTTATGTTGTTGTAATCTTGGGTAGATAAGCAAAGCCAGTGTCTGTCCAAGTCATGAGGTACCTCAGACTCCCCTTTCTGTTTTAGGTATGTTTGAACTGAACGCGTTCAGGATGCAACGATCAAAACATATCTTCCCAATGTTATGGAAAAGGAGGATCAAATCCATTTTGATTAGAAATCTATACTCAGCAAATCCATCTGTTTCTATACATTTGTACTTATTTTATCTTCATTTCTTACTAATGAAGTTTCACTTGGAAAATCCCAATCTTGCCTCCACTAAATTAGGAAGAAAAGAGATAGGGATGCGCTGAGGCTGGACTACCCGAAGGCATCGGGGTGTCCAGAGAAGCTGGGCTTGAGGGAGGCAGCAGCTCCAACACCTTAGAGCCTTGGGAACAGTCCCTGTGACAGCCACACTGATTGAGAGGAAAAAGCACAGCGGGAGAAGTTGATCTCTTTCCACTGGGAGATTGATCTGCACTAGGTAAGTCTATTAATCCATAAAGCCTCTTCATCTCTAGAGTCTGTGATTTCTTGTCTTCTCTAAAAGTCCTAGGCAAAACAGACATTTATTAATGGTATGAAACAGGCACTATATTGCAGTACAAAACGAAAAACGACCTCCACGTCTCAGTGCCTTTTCTCACTCCTGAGGTCCGCCGCAGGCTGGGTGACCCTCCCTGGCACCCGCCCTTCATGCTGTAACCGGTGCAGCTCTGCCGTCTCGGCAGGAGGTTTCCTTGACTGCCTGGGCAAGGGATGAGACAGCTGGAGCGTTGGGCGCTGCCTCTTCGATTCTGACCTGTAGGATTCACAGGTCCACAGTCCATCAGACAGAATTAGTCACAAGGCTCCACCTAAGGGAAAGTGGGGTGGGCAACACTGTCACACTCGTCAGAAAGAGAATCATTTATGCAAAAATGAATAGGTTCCAACCCCTTTCTCTTAGGGTAAACTCAAGGAACTGTAGTGAGAGTGGCGTATTTGTTTGCAATATTATTATTCATAGATGCCAGGATGCATGGAAGTGCTAGAAGGCAGGGCGGTGTTCTGTGCGTCTTGATATCCCTCCTGCCTGCCACAGTACATGGCATGTGAAAAAAAGCTCAACAAAGCCTTAACAACTAAGCTAATGAATAAGGTATTCTATATCCTTCACTTCCCAAGGCGTTTCTTTTTTTCTTTTTTTTTCTGAGACGGAGTCTTGCTCCATCCCCCAGGCTGGTGTGCAGTGGCGCGATCTTGGCTCACTGCAATCTCCACCTCCCTGGTTCAAGTGATTCTCCTGCCTCAGCCTCCTGAGTAGCTGGGATTACAGGTGCATGCCACCACGCCTGGTTATTTTTTTTGTATTTTTAGTAGAGACGGGGTTTCACCACGTTGGCCAGACTGGTCTCGAACTCCTGACCTCAGGCAATCCACCCGCCTCGGCCTCCCAAAGTGCTGGGATGACAGGCGTGAGCCACCACACCTGGCCCCAAGGTATTTCTTATTGCTCTTCCTTCCCAGCCCATGCTAGGTATATCACATCGAAAAGGCATTCTGTGTGTCCAAATCACTTCTGATTTGCTGCAATTCATCTTGATGAAATGGGAAGCTGTGGTTCTGCAGCTCTGGTAACAGTTAGGAAACTGCCAGCAAAGCAGTAGGAACTAAGCAAGGTGCATTTCAGTGTTAGCTGAAATTGCTGCTATAGTTGGTCCCTTACCTGACTCTCTTTCCTAAGAAGTAAATTGGTCTTCAGATAAATTTTGCCTGTTAGATTCCTTGGCCAAGTCTTTAGCCAAACCAACCAATAAGCCATCCTTTGAATAGCAAATGCCCTGATCACCATCAGTGGTTATGCTCCTGGCTATTTTTCTCATAATAGCAATGGGCCTGTGTTAACCACACATTGTCTCTCCTTTGGTTCCCTGGGTGGCGGATGGCACTCCCCTTGTGAGGCGGTTTGGCCCTGCAGCCTTTGCCTGGATAATGGCCTATCTTGATATCTTGGCTTTGGACTTCTTAGAGCACACTCTCATGAATGAGCAAATGGTCCTTGGCCAGACTCCTAAAAATAACTTGTTTTGCCTGCTGCCTCGACATCTGACTGCAAAGTTGGTGCTATGTATTATTAAGTAAATGTGAATTTAACAAAAGTGTGCTGTGGTTTATGCACTGTTAATCTTACGCTGTGCTTTGAAACAACGTCAGGGTTTCTATGGACTTTTTTGAGTTGACATCTGAATCTGGGTATACCAGAGCCCTGGGTTCTTTTACTTACCCCTGTGAAATCTCTTATGCAGGGGTTGGCTTGGTTTTCTCCTCAAGGCCTGGTGTCATGCAACAAAAACTGTGTATGTGCACGGTCATATTTTCATCTGTGTGCAGGCTGCCCCCTTGGGGTTTCAACATTAGTATTTGCTGATTTTTCCTGCCATATACATTTAAGTGCAAAGAGTTTCATTTAGACGTAGAAAGGCCTGGAGGTGTGAGGAGGTGTAATTTTTCAGTAATGAGCTTAGCATATATAAAAAGGTAATGGGCAGTTTTATAAGGACTATTTATAAACTACTGAAGGGGAAAAAAGCACACTCCATTCTTGTTATTAGGATGAGGCAAGCTAGACAAAAAGACTGTTCATTCAAGTTTAACTTATCTATATCAAAAGACTCAGAATAGATGAAAATCGGTATTTCAAAAAGACAGCAGGCTAAATAAAAAATTCCACACAATGTTCATCCCAAGTAGTCTTTTTTTTTTTTCCTTTCTGTCTGTAGCTTGAGCACTGGAGATAATAAAGGAATCTGAAAAATGATAATCTCATTTTTTAGTTATTTGATAGTCTCACAACTGTAATCCAATGTTTTGACATTGACTGGCCTCTTGTTTGAAAGTATCTTTGGTTATAGACCAGGTTGTTCTGAACTGGAAATGATGTACTTTCTGGGTTTTCTAAAGAAAAAAAATATTAGGCATATTTAATCATACTCTAACCACTTATTTACCAAGGAATGCATTAATTCTTTTAATGGTGTTAAATGAGTATCCAGACTGTTACGGTTTCTGTAGTTGTTAATAGTCCACCTGCACTTATTCAGTCTTTCTTTTTTTGAGTGTTCATATGTTCACAGAAACTCAGTCCAGATGGTTAGGAATTGGATAAGTTGTTTAAGACGGTGGCACGTTATAAAGATACCCAGACTAGTCCCTGCATCTTAGGGGTGGGGACAGAGACTGCAGTGAGGTTAAGCATTTCACTCATGATCACACAGTCACCGGTGACTGAGGACATGAATTTAGTCTTTTCAGATCAAGCTGGTGACCAAAGGCTGTGACAACTGCATTCAAAGCCCCAAGTAACAATATGCTTCGTTCAACTGCAGAGGTAAGCCAGGCCAGGGTTTCTTGATCTTTGACGAGCAACGGCTTCAACAGGGAGGCTTTAAAAGGCACATATCCTCGGATCCCATGCCAAGACCCTATCCTTGGAGATTTGGGTTCAGTAAGTCTGAGGTGGGACCCTGGTACCAGTATTGTGGGAAAAGCCCCCAGGCGATTCTGATGAGCATTAAAGGTCGTGAATTAGTGACCGAGGCCCGTGGTCAGATCTACAAGCCTGGACACATGGAGAAAGATTTGGGGGAAAGAAGGGATTAGTCTAGTTCTGGCTCCATACCAGAAGGCACAGGAGGGCTGAAGAATTCCTGATGGTTTTCCTACAGCTCAGAGCCACGGTCAGGCAGCTGAGCAATCCCTCCTCCTTCTCTAAGCCACAAACCTCTGGCAGATACTTGGTGATTTCCTTATGGTAGACGAGAGTGGAATAATTACATGTTAGGAACTTTATCCTCTACATCTCTTTAGAGATGCTAGGGCTCCCTGTGGGCTGCAGGGCTAGGCATTCTCAGGCAACCTCTCATTCTTTACCAGAAACGAAGACCACGCCCCGCCTCTCAAGTCTCCCTCTTGGTGATCTTCTTCTCCCAGTCCTGCGGGGTCCTCGTCATTCACATTCGTGGTTCAAAAACTATTTCAGTGCCTGCTACGTGCCAGGACTGTTAGACATGTGACCCCAGTTATTCTAAACCCAAATAACCCCCAAATGGGGCTTCCTTGAAACATACCAAAAACAAATCAAAAGTCTTTTCATTTTTAACTTCAAATTGTTTCCTGGTTTTAGAAAAGTATTTTTGTACAATTTCCTCTTGTACCCTAAATAAACATCAATACTTCAGATTTTAGTTAATAGAAAAATTTTAAATTCATTTTTGTATTTCCAGTGAACAAGCCAAAGAGTTAAATCTTGCTTCATTTTCCCCCTAAGAAATAGACAAATCTCCTAAAATTTACCTTCTGCCTATCATATGCCTCAAAACTCTGAAAAAAAGCTGAACTTCAAAAATCAAACCATCAAAGGAAACAACAGTGAACAGTAACAACATCTTCTGGACAGTTCTGAAAATAGAGGCTGTAAAATTTTTATAAAAATGCAAGAAAGAGTCTCATGATAAAATGTGATGGATAATAACTTGCCTTATGATGCAGGCCACAAACTCATTATTAAGCCGAAATGGAATTTTAAACATTATTCCTTTTGCATCTATCATTTTTATCTCAATCATGTTTCCTGAAATGGATTGTCTTTGGTAATTGTCCAGAATTTGTGGGAAACGTTGGTTCAATAAAACCATCGTGATTGATTTTTTGGAGGAAAATAGAATTCTATCTATATATCTGTCTGTCTGACTGTCTGTTTTTGAAGTGTCTCACCCTGTTAAAAAAAATACCCTAAATGATCTTATTTTGCCCAAGTATCAGGTAGCTTTTTATAACAATAGCCTATAAAATACACAACAGTAGTATAAAAGGAAATGAAAAAGCTCTATCTGCCTCAATGATCCATTGTTATCTCTAGCAATATGCTCCCAGACTACAAGTTAAGTGAATTTTTTTTTGAGACAGGGTCTTGCTCTGTCTCCCAGACTGTAGTGCAGTGGTGCAATCAGCACTCACTGCAGCCTGTATCTCCCAGGCTCAAGTGATGCTCCTGTATCAGCCTCCCAAGTAGCTGGGACCTCAAGTGTGCACCACTATGCCCGGCTAATTAATTTTTTAAAAAAATTTTTTGTAGAGATGGGGTCTTGCTATGTTGCCCAGGCTGGTCTCAAACTCTTAGCCTCAAGTGATCCTCCTGCCTCAGCCTCCCAAATAATACTTGACAATGATGCTGAACTCTGAATAGAGAAATTATGAGCGTGAGCCACCATGCCCTGCCTCTTTTTTTTTTTTTTTTTTTTTTTTTTTTTGAGACGGAGTCTCACTCTGTCACCCAGGCTGGAGTGCAGTGGCGCAATCACGGCTGACTGCAAGCTCCGCCTCCCGGGTTCACGCCATTCTCCTGCCTCAGCCTCCCGAGTAGCTGGAACTACAGGCGCCCGCCACCACGCCCGGCTAATTTTTTGTATTTTTAGTAGAGACGGGGTTTCACCATGTTAGCCAGGATGGACTCAATCTCCTGACCTCATGATCCAGCCGCCTCAGCCTCCCAAAGTGCTGGGATATAAAGCCCTATGGAAGCTTTCCTTAACGTCCTCTATAGATGTTCAAAAATTATGCCTCATCATGGGAAAGCACACAAACAAGGAAGAAGGGCAACAGTAGGAATAAGAAGAACAGTAGCTGGCCAGGGCTTGAGATCAAAGCCACACCATTTCTGGAGGCTCATCTTCCATTATTAGAAATGTCTGAGTCTTAGATGCTTCAATATTAAGATGACATAAGAAGACGATTTTGTGACATAGTGAGTTGTATCCTTGAGCATGTGGACCTTGTTAAGTGGGCCTTTAGAAAATAAATTTAAAACAGGGATATTGGAAACTATATTTTCTGTTTATTTACTAGGTAAGAGAAGGCTATGCTCTTGTTTGTTCTTTCTGGGAATACAGCTAGACTAAATTTCTCAGACTCTCTTGCAGTTAATTTTGGGCCATACAACAGAGTTCTGGCCAATAGCTTGTTGGTAGAAGCGTCAAATGCCACCCTAGGCATGGACCATGTTAAATCTCCTTGTATAATCCTATGTGATATCTATTTCTATTCTGTGGGGACTTGGGAGGCCATATATGGAAGATGATTGGAGTCTCCGGTGGCCGAGATGGAAAAAGATTGGTCTCTGAATAATTGCATGGAAGAGGGTCCCACATTCTTCTCCCCGCCAACCAGAACACATTGGGCTAGTCTATCCTCAGAAATAAACCTTTCTGCCCTTTGATCAGCATCTCCTCATTCTCCTCACCCCTGGTAACTGCCATTCCATTCTCTGCTTCTATGAGTTCAACTTTTTAGAGTCCACATATAAGTGAGATCACGCAGCATCTGTCTTTCTGTGTCTGCCTTATTTCACTTAGCATGACAGCCTTTCAGTTCATCCATGTCACAAATGACAGGATCTCCTTTTTAAACGCTGACTAGTATTCCGTTGTACATATACCATGTTTTCCTTATCTATTCACCTGTCGATGGACACTTAGATTGATTCCATACCCGGACTATTGTGAATAGTGCTGCAATGAATATGAGAGTGCAGATATCTCTTCAACATACTGACTTCATTTCCTTTAGATGTAACCCAGGAATAGGAGTGCTGGATCATATATTAGTGTTATTTTAATTTTTTTAGGAACCCCCCCACCCTGCCATACAGTTTTCCATAATGGCTGCACCAATGTATATCTCCACCAACCTTGATTTATTTATTATGGAAACGAAGTTGGGAAGGATGCAGTCCTGGGCTGGTATGGTAATTTTAGGAAGTCATTAAATTAAGAAACTTCCTCCAGCTCTCCTCTCCAGCCTCCTTATAATGTGGCTCTCATCCTTGTGGTCCATCATGTCAGCCCAAGCTCCAGCCATCACGTCCATATTCCAGACAATAGAAAGCAACCAAGAAGAAAGGGTCAAAAGGCATATTCATGGTCTTTTAAGGAAGCTTCCTGTAAACTGCACAAAACACTTCCACGTGCATTTCATTGTCCAGAATTTGTCATAGGGAGCTATCTAGCTGCAAAGAAAGCTGGGAAAGCTTTACTTGGGGGCAGTCATGTACTTGAGAGTTTTGTCACTAAAGAAGAAGGGGAGAACAGCTATTGGGGTAGGGGACCAGAAGACTTTGCTACAGTTAATAACTGCAAGCTTCCTACTGTGAGGGAAAAATTAGCGTATACAAAATGCAATTTTAGACACACACATGTGTTCATGTATACACTTCTTTGTTTACACTTAAACATATGTAACATATAGAGCTTGCCATTTTCACCCTAGTCTTAGCCCATCAGAATTCCTCTGTAGTCAGTGAATTAACTATTCTCCAGTGTTTTGGGCATAAATGTAACTTTACCTGATGGCAAAAGAAAAATAAGGATACTTTACATTTTGTGTATCAGCATGCATAGAAATACAGTCATGTGCCACCTAATGATGTTTTGGTCACCAATGAACTGCAAATATGATGGTCCCATAGGATTATGAGCTAAAAACTTCCTATCACTTAGTGACACAGCCATTGTACCATCATAGCACAATGCATTACACATTTTTCCAGTGATGTCGGTATAAACAAACCTACCTGTGCTATCAGTTGTATAAAAGTACAGTACATGCATTTATGTACAATAAATAATACTTGATAATGATACTAAACAACGATGTCATTGATTTATGTTTTTACTACACTATACTTTTATTATTATATTTTAGAGTGTACTCCTTCTACTTATTTTTTTAAAAAAAAGTTAACTGCAAAACAGCCTCAGGTCAGTCCTTCAGTAGGTGTTCTAGAAGAAGGCACCGTTATCACAGGAGATGACAGCTCCACGTGTGTTACTGCCCCGAAGACCTTCCAGTGAAAGATGATGTGACATGGATGATCCTGACCCTGTGTAGACCTAGGTTAATGTGTGTCTTTGCATCTCAGCGTTTCACAAAAAAGTTTAAAAAGTAAAAAACGAATTTTAAAAATAGAAAAAAGCTCATAGAATATGGATAGAAATATTTTTTGTACAGCTGTACAATAAATATGTTTATGTTTTAAGCTAAGTGTTATCCCAAAAGAGACAAAAAGTTTTTAAAAAATTGAAAAGTTTACAAAGTAAAAAAGTGACTGTAAGCTAAGGTTAATTTACTAGTGAAAAAAAATTTTTAAATAAATTTAGTGTAGCCTAAGTGTACGTACCATGTTCACAGAAGGTCTACAGTAGTGGACAGTGACGTTCTAGGCCTTCGCATTGACCTGCCCTCACCCACTGACTCACCCAGAGCAACTTCCAGTCCTGCAAGCTCCATTCATGGTACGTCTCCTATACTGGTGCGCCATTTTATATCTTTTATTCCTTATTTTTACTGTACTTTTTTTTATGTTTAGAAACACAGACACTTACCATTGTGTTACAATTGCTTACGCTATTCAGCGTAGTAACAAGCTGCACAGATTTTTAGTCTAGGAGCAACAGGCTACTACACCTTATAGCCTAGGTGTGTAGTAGGTTATCGCATCTAGGTCTGTGTGAGTGCAGTCTATGTTGTTTACACGATGACAAAATTGCCTAACGATGCATTTCTCAGCACGTATACCTGTCATTAAGTGATTCATGGCTGTAAGTAATTACATGCATGTGTCAGTATAACACGCTCTGCTATTGTTTCAATGTAAGCACGGCAAGTATTGTGCTCATCGCATTGGACTTAGAGATGGATATTCCCTATTCTGAGTCTGTTTATGTCAGTGCATGTGTTTGAGCGAATCGCAAGAACTTGCTAATACCTTCCATTTCTATAGTGCCTCCTACTTTATAGAATTGTGGAGACATTCTGTTAGAATAAATATAAAACAGATAACTCTCTTTACATTGGATGTGTGGTAGATACCTTTCTTTATCATGTTTCCTGTGTACTCTATTTCACAGGCACATAATACATACACCAAATTTCCTCCCTATTTTCTATGACATCAAGGACCATGCCCCACCCCCATGTAATATTATATTATTTTGTTTTAAAATCGTATCTATCCTTCTCCCTCATTCCCCACCCACCTATCTGGGTACACTCCAACATTGTATTTGTCCATGCTACTACCCCCCTAATATAACAGAATAAGGAACGTTTCATACCAAAGATTTAGGATTTTCAGTACATTCAGCGATCAGGTGTTGGAAGCATCCAAAAAGTGACCTCTAGAAAACTAGGGCTAAATGGTTTACATTTTACACTGTCTAAACGCTTCACAAAGGACTATCTCTTAATTTCCCACTAACCCTATAATTAAAGAGCATGCTATCATCGTCATGCCTGTTTTTACGGAAGTGCAAACTAAGGCTTGCCTAAGTTAAAGTACAGCTACATAGCGAGGGGCAACCTGACGCCAACTGCACATGGTCTGCCCCCAAAGCCCATGATTCGAATCACGATGCCATGATTCGAATCATCAGCATGGCCCTGATGATCGGTATCCAGGGTCCCCACAGAGCCGCTTTGCCAAACAACGCACGTTTGGGGAGCACCGCTTTATACAGCGTGCTCTGCTCGGAGACACAATCCCTCCCTGGGAAGGCCTACAGTCTAATTCGGAAAATAACGTTATCATATAAAATGACTGGAATACCAAATACCCTATCCACAAGAAACCACTGATGTCCAGGCCGAGGCGGCCTCGTGACTGTAGGAGAATTAAGAATCGTGGGGGATTCGTGGCTGCTGACATATTGTTGCAGACCACCTTGCCTCACTATAAAAGCTGAACTAGTTTGAGGCAAAGGTTTTTTGGGTTTTGTTTTCAGGCAAATCGTGTCTTGCCATGAATTAACCACCAACCCTCTTCATGTGCACTCACTCATCCCCCTGCCACCCCAGTCATTTATTTGCAATCACGTTCGCATATTCTGGGCACTGGAAGTTGGTTCAGTTAACAAGGAAGAAGGAAACTGATAAAGATATTGTTAATGGATCTCTTTGTGCATAAAAAGAACTCCCATCTTCCCTCCCACATGCTGTCCTGAATTCCCCTTTTCCTTCTTCTCAAAGTTTTACTTTTTCTCGGAATGTCTGTGTGTGCCATATGACAGTGATTTTCTGTGGTAATTGCTTTATTCTTCAATAAGAACCTTTACAATAGCAAACTCCTACAATACTTATGTGTAAATTAGGGCTGTTCCAAAGCAAAAAATTGAAACTTGCACGTCGTCATTTTTGATAAATTAAAAAAAAATCCCCTTGAATGTGAGAATGTTTGTCTTGTGCCAAAAAAAAAAATTAATTCTTTTCTGCATCTAGAGTTTCATGCGTTTGGGTTTACATTACAGGATCTCAGAGAGAATAGATCATTAATTCATTTCAACACAGTCAGCTTACCAAGAAAAAGTGTGTTTCATTCTGCTTTATACAAAAGTCGGGTGCAATTGTATAGAAATGCAATTTTACAATTAAAGTGCTCTCGGGCTTATGAACACTGTTCATAAGTCGGCTGGCTGTGGAGGGTAGAGGGTGGCTGCGTCCCCAAACAGCAGGGCCCAGCAAGAGGGAAAAGCCACACACCTTCTCTGAGGGGCCCCCCAAAAAATGATCGCGGTAGCAGTAGCTTTATTTTGCTCACTTGCAATAGCAACAACAAAATGATGCCACAGACGAAAACTGTCATGTCCCACCCGCTCCATCTGTCCTGTGCTGTGCACCCTCATTCTACAAATTAATCTTTCACACATTTTTTAACAAAAAAGTGTTCATGTTATAAAAGAAAAAAAAACAAGGAAAACAGAAAAGGCTGTGTAGAAAATAAATTAAATTTAAATTTGATGGCAGTTATGACTTTTTTTATTGACTATAAGAGCAAACAGTCACATCAAATTGGTGCCACTGGCATATAATTAAAACTACAGGGCACCCTTAATGATCTCTGACAATGATCGCGTGTGTTTTTTTTTAAATATAGCACGCACATTTTGTCCAATTTGGGCTCTTTTTTCCTGTTGCTTTTGTCCTCTTTCTGAGTGGATATTATTCATGAACTGAGTCTTTATTATCTATTTGGCCATCTGCATAGCATTGGCCATAGTCCCCTGTATTGTAATTTTGAGTGAAAATAAGGACTGCTGGAGATTGCAACACTAAAAATAAATAATAGTAATAACACGCTTTAAGAACTCAGAAGTAAAAAGCATAAAGAAAAACATTTGGGCTGGAGGTGAGCTTTGGAGATATGTGGCTTGAAGGTGGGGGTGAAACAGAAATCATTCCATTCTCTCATTCAGCATAATAGAAGCTGGATATTCACTCTGACCAAACTAACATCTAGTTGCCTTGATAAGATAATAGGCGATTCTGAAAGCGATGCTTCCTCATGCTGGATTGTCTTTGAAAGAAAACAAATATTTGTTCTCTTGGTACTCTCTTGCTTCAGAAGTCCACAGACTTCTTCGTGGAGGGACAGCCAGTAGCACAGCCTCCTTTGGCTATCAAGATTTTAGCTACTGAATATTCATCTTTATCACGTATTAGGTCCCTTGCTTTTAGTTTAGTGAAGGCAGATTTTTTAAAAAGTTAAAATAATAGAACACATTTCCAGTTAAACAAAATATGCATGGGGGAAAATGAACTAACTGAAAACTAGTATAATTGTTTTATTTCTAAAACATTGTCTAATTTTATTTGGTTTCTTCCATTCTTCCCCCCAACCCTTTGGATCTTTTCTTTTCTTTCTTTCTGAAATTCTCTTCATCAGGGTTTGCTTGCCTTTTTTTCTTTCCACTTGTCAGATCTTCCCTGCAGCCTGTGGAAGGCCATCAAACCAGCTGATTGAAAGATGAATATGAGCTAGCTAAGAAACATCTCCCTGAGCAGAGTAAATATGCAAGACTATCATATATGAAAAGAACATTTTTGTTTCAAGTGGAAATGTATAGTAGTCTATTTGATTTTTAATGTTCCTTGATTTTTTTTTGCTCATAGTTTATTCCTATTAAACTTGAGGAATATACAATTAAAGCTTTGCTTCCTCTTTCTCTCTTTCTCATGCTTTCTCTCTCTCTTTTTCATGCACACAAACTGCTTGGGCTTACTACCAAAGCAGAATGAATTCTGTCAATTATCTCATTATTTAGAAAATGAGTTATTTACTTGCATTAAATTATGGTTTAAAATAACTTTCTTGTTGTATTTCTCTTTCCTTCCAAAATTGGTTCATGTATGTATACAGTAATAGCCTGAATGGCATAAAATTTTCAAATTTGGAAAGTTTGAGCTAATCACTTTAATATCCATATTGACTTACCTAAAAATAATGAAGAAGTTCTAAAATCAAAAGAGATAACCCAGTTTCCAAAATAGCCACATGTGTATTTGCTCATGGCGGATAAAATTTAGGGCATATGTATTTATTTATTTTCATACCTATTTAACTTGTATAGAGAGGGTATGTTGGTCATTTAAAAAAATGATTAAGAGTTAATTTATCACTTTTAAGACTAATTTAATTCCAAATATTCCAATAGCCCCATAATACTAAACTTTTGTATCTAGCATTAATATTAACTTTAATTAACATTATATGTTTATATATTAATATTATATCTGTTAGTTACCTCCATGAGATCTGCAGAAAATAAAAATGTAATGATATTTTACACACCTGTTTTAAGCCACATCATTCCATTTTCTCTAAATTGGTGTGATAATCATTGATATTTTAAAACTTATCCAGATGTACATTTAATAATACAGTACAGATTTCTCTTTAACAAACTATATTTCAAGTCTGAGTCTCTAAAAAAAAAAAAAATTCCTCCCCCCAAATAGCAAAATCCATAGAGTATGCACAGTTGACAGTCAAAATTTCCACTCTTCTAACATAAGAATAAAGTGATAAAAAAACATGACCTTAAAAATATTCTTTTAACAATATGATATAATATGAATACTTTAAATAATACTAAAAGACATTATACTTGTGTGAAGTGGTCTGGGCCAATATCACATGCCTCAGTCCTTCCTTTGTGTTGTTCCTCTAGTCCCCACCTCCTGCTAAAGTATTATACCAAATATTATCTGATACTAAACATTAACTCTTAACCATAGCCTACAACTGCCCTGAGTTGAACTAGAAATTCCAAGGCAGAATGACAAACAGGGCCTCCCTCTCCACTCACTCTCATTCTGTGGGAGTTTTAGAGTTGTTTAGGAAAGCAGGATTTGAAGAATGACATCCTAGCATGCTTAGGTAAAGTATGTTCATTCTAGAATATTTCTGTAGCTGTTTGTAAATGTCACAGACTGATCATCTCAGAAGCTATGTAAGAAGAAGGGATCTCAATCAAATGTCTGACCAGATCCCTCCTTATGGCCGTAAGAGTTTAATTTTCATTTAAACAACAATAAATAAAGGCATAAGGGTTTGAGATGAATTATGTAAGCCCTTTAGCTACAACCATTACATTCTGCCACCAAATGAGCTGCTGTTCTCACTTTGTTTTATGGGTTCTGCGTAGCCTGTGTTATTATATCTGCCAAATAAAACCCAGCAAACCATGCAAATGAAAATATAATCTTTTCTCTCTCATAGTCACCGGATGCACCCAAATATATAATTTTATCAGTTCCTCTGCACCAAATTTACTGCTACTAGGACCCTACTGTCTTAATAGGACCTACAGAAAGGGAAAACATTTCTTGCTTGGAGGTATCTTCGTTTATATCCACCAATAGCATATGTCTGTAGTTGAAGCTACACTTGAAAAGTCAGGAATAATTCCTTTCATTATATTTTTAGCTTGTTTATGTGGTTCGATTGAGATCATGGATGTATCCTCAAGGATAAACACCCAAATGACTATGTGTTTTCAAAGCATGGCAGATTCTAATTTGTTTAAAAACAATGGAGTTTTTTCTTTTGATTTCAGAGTGGCCTAAATATCTGAAGAAAAATGACTTAGTGAATTGTTGATGAACTAGCTCTGCAACTCACCAATCTTAATTTGGGGCCTTGGACAAGTCACTTAGCCATTCCATTTCAACATTCTCCTCCAAGTAATGAAAATAACAACACATCTTATGCCTATAAGCGATGTTTGAGGAATAACTCACCTCTAAAATGCCTCAAGGATGAAACATCTCTTCTATATCCTAAAGAATCGCTATGCTTCTCCCAGGAGTAAAGTCTCTACCACATCCATCTGGGATATTTCTAGGTTGGGTCAGAGTGCACCCCCAAAAAGTAAATAGATGCTTTTCTGGTAGTCTACATAATAAGCTGTCCTTCATCCCAAGTTTAAAGGGAGCAGTTGAACATGTAAAGCATTGCTAATCCCGCTGGCCTTGGAAAAATGCAAAGGTGTAAGTTATTTCTTTTCATTATCTCCCTTCCCTTTTCCCCGCCTTCCCCTTTCTTTTCCTTCTCTTCTGCCCTCTCCCTTCTTTCCTTCTGTTCTCTCCCTCCCTCCCTTTCTAGACTATTTCTTGAATGCGTATTATGTGCCAAGCACCATTCTAGGTGCTAAGGATACAGCTATTATCATAGAAGAGTCCCCATCCTGAGGAAGCTTACATCCCACCAAGGAAGATAGGAAACAAAAAATAGGTGGGTATCTTTGATAATGGGAATTTTCCTGGTTCACTTTATCAAAGTAGTTCAAGAGTGTTTCCTTCCAATGCTAGTTCGTGCATCTGGTTATGAGCCAGGCCAGATGTTTTGTACAGAGGCTGATGTAATTCCAACCAGGCCTGATGCATGATAGGGATTCAGTGGCTGTTGAAGGAATGAATTTATTTCTGAAATGTGATTAGTTAGGTTAACAAATAGTTCAAATTACTCAATGAAATGTCAATACATACCTACAATTTCCCTATAAGGTCAACCTAAAACTACGCAATGAATGTGCTATGAAATTCTTATCTCTATTAAGAAAAATCTAGTTCATATTAAGCCAATCTTACCAGAAAAACCAGCCAAACTAGTAACTTAGGTATATGAGTGTGCATGTGAGTACACACACACACACACACACACACACACACGCCTTGCCCTGATCGTAGCAACCTCATGTCTGGAAAGAGTTAAATACTGAGTATAGTCTACATTATTTTTTTAAAATTCTTTATTCTTTTATCAAGTGCTCTCTTGGCAAAATCAACTGAGTATATTCTAGTCTTCTTTACTTTGGGGCCAGCTATTTCATGAAGTATTATTTAAGAATAATTTGCAAGACAAAAAATAGTGGCATACATCAGCAGAGCCCAGGAAGAAGTATTCACATCTCTGCTTTATTTACCTTGCTGCTGCCACCACCAACTCTGCCAGCACCATTGCCACCACCATGGCCTCTACCATAGACCACTTCCCAGTGGGATCTTTCCTTCTCTTTACCTCTCTTCCGTTATCCTTCTTCTACACTGTCACCATCTTCTCACCATTCTTTACAGCCCTCCCATCCCTGTAAAGCTGTTGTCCCATATATTGCTCTACTCTGTCTGTCATTTGTCTCTAAAATGCCCTATTGTGCATGTGTCTTTGTTATGCAGTCTCTTGTCACTGTCTGTTTTAGTGAGCCTGTGTTCCTGCATCTGTCCCATATCCCAAGTGCTAAGGTACGGCGTGGCATTGTACACCAGTTGTGAGTCCAATTTCTTTTTCTGAACCCAAACTTTTTTTTTTTGCCATGACCTTGCTGAACAGCCTCAGTTGTGTAAAGTTACTTCAGAGCAATGGGTTTTCAGTTAAAACATGTGACATTTATGTACAGAGACAGAGAACAAAGAAAGCTTCAAGGCCCCTAGAAGGAATGTGAAATGTGTGTTCTCTGAGTTCATATTCAAGAACCACTTTTCCTATTGTCTCCCATAAAGCTATTACTGCAGCTTCAATTTAAAATGCTTATTTTTACTGAGTTTAATTTAGATACACATTTGCATTGTAAAATGGGTACTTTAAAAATAATCATTTTAGTCTTAGGCATAAATGCTAGTTCTTTGTAAGAGAAGTAACTTCCTGAGTTGCATGTTATTGCTAAGGGCGAAGTAAATTTCTGGAGTGAAATTTAACCTTCTGTCTGCTCTTATTACCGGGAATAGTTTGAATTTGGTATGTATCAAGACTTTTGTGTTAAATTTATAGAATTTCTTTATAACCAAAGAGTTGTATTAAGACAATTTTATCTTGTTACAGTAGTTAAGATTGGTAAACACTTATTAGGCATCAGCAACATATTAGTCTCTGAAAGAAAAATGAAATCTCATCTTTGTCCAGTGGATTCACAATGACATTTATATATACATAATGAAGATATAAGAGGGAATGATATTATTTCATGTATTGTTGGCACCCAGCACATGGTGGAAACTTAACAAGAACCATGATAATGCAGTTTCGTGTTTCTCTAACATATACTAAGTTCTTAGTAAATAATTTCTAGATGTATCATTTTCCTTTCTGCTTGTTTAAATCCAAGAAGGTGCTGCATTCAAGAGTGAAGCAAGCACAAAAGGAAAGGAAAAATCTCTCCCTGGAGGAGAATGCAGACAGACAGACAGACGCTATTTGTATCTTTGCGTCCGAAGCACAGCAGCTAACACACAGTAGGTGTGAGGCATCAATATTACCTGGTAACCTCTCTTGTTCTGTTCATTTCAACTTTTCTAAGTTCATTTGCAACCCGAATTTCTACAAACTCCAATTTAAGCAATGTAATACAAGTGAGAATATTAGCATTCAAATATTTAGAAGTCTTATCCTCTCATTTTGAATAAAACAACTTCTATTTACTAATATTGTACAACATTTTAGCACAATTGATACCCCTGAAGACTTCCATCATTGAAGAAGGGGTTCTGAATATCATAGGTTCATATTAAATCTTTCTTTAGTAGAATTTACTCATCTGGAAGTCACATGTTTAGTTGGGTTATTTTAAATGGTAAATCTTAAAAAGCCCACAGATGAAACGAGTGTATCTTTTAATTATCCAAAGTAATGCAGCCTTCAACCCCACAGATTAACTCCAACATCTGGTATTTGAAGGCATGTGATTCTTAAGGATGGTAGACTTGCCTTTAGAAATTTGTTTTGTTTAGGATAGCCTTTAAATAATTTTTAACTGATTAAACTCCCACCAGTGAATGATACAAAGGCATCCTGTGTAGCAAGGAAGCCAGCCAGCCTGGGGTTCAAAAGTGGCCTGGGATTATATACAAAGTGAATGATGAATATATTTATAGTACAAAGTTAACAAGAAAAGCCATCATTGTGTGCATTTTTTTCTTCCATATGCTGTAACGTATAATGTATTTTATGGGGAGACTGGAGGAGATAGAGGGGGGAGAGAGAATGAGAAGAGGGTTGTGAGTTGGGTGGCTACTGAAACACCTCTTTGCTTTTTTCCTAAATTCTCTGAAGTGGCCTGTCTTAGTCCCAACCAAGCCAGAAGTATTGGCCTCCTTCAGCCATTATGCTGTCTGTAAAAGCACTGATTTACAGTAAGCAACAAAACACTGGCTACACAGGAAAAAGAGTTTTAGGGAGACTATCCTTTGCTCCCCTCTGCCCTTAAGCCTCAGCAGGTTTGAATCACTGGTGTAGGTTCATTCTGCTTTCATTGGCATACCACCAATGCCTGCTGCAAATCTGCTAAGGACTTCTCAAGAGTTTATGACATTATTTCTATCTTCAGGGCTGAGAATCAGGCTGAATTATCTCCAATTTAGGGCTTACCATAGTTTAGGAATTTAATAGATTCAAGTATCACAGAATTTATAACCCAGGGAATGATTTGACATAGAAAGTGCTTTGCAGAATTATAAATATATTTTACAGATAAGATTAGACTGTATTATAGAGAATTATAAATACGTAAAATATGTATTTTAAGAATGATGCTATATAAAATATGCTCCCTGTTCACTTCATTCTGTCTGTAAAAAAAACACACAGGTTACAGTTTTTGATGTATCAATGTCTCCTCCATATCTTTGGGGCTGTTACTCTACTTGCAGGTACATTCTATAAAACATTTTGTTAGAGCTATGCCTTGGCTTTAGATGCAGTACAGCTGAGTTTCTAAGCTTTTTGTAGATAATCCGAGTGTACTAATATTTTCATGAATTGTTTAATATCCTGACACTATCAATTACTTTCTGTCTACTCATGTAGAGATCTGTCACTCTCCTTAATGTGTTGTGATGTGTGTTCTGGTTTGTTCATTTACTTTTTTTTAAATCACTGTCTCAACTGTGTTTCAGTGTTTCCTTTTCCCTTTAGAGCATATCAACCTGTTCATTTCTAAATGCCAGAAGAGAGATGAGACAGAGAGAAAAAAAACTAAGTAAGTTCATAGAGTTCCATGTATGCTCTAATATTGAAAGTGAGTGGGCTTCATAGAAGCTTGAACACACTTCCCAGTTTAGTGTATTTTTTCTCTCTAGGTTCAAAATCAGGTTGACCTCTACTTACGTTTTGTTAGATTTTATAGTTATTATATTATCAATATAATACCTTCAAACACCTAGTATTTTACTGTTGCTTGCCTCCCTAATTTTTAAAGAAACATTCCATTCCTGTAGGAAATTAATACATTTATAAAATATCAATATCCAAAAACTAGTTTCCAAGATAACTTTTTCAATATGACCTATTGCATAAAGTGTAATAAAAACACTGAGGTTTTTCAGAGATTTGAGCTGTGGTTCACACTTAAAGGTCAGACATTCATTTTATGGAGTTGCTCATCAAATTAAATTTTATTTGATCCATCAACATTTTATACTATTACATTGTTATTAGTTGAAATGAATATGTTATTAGCACATAAAACTTGTTCCCTGGCAAGAAAGATTCATTTGTATCACTTTTAATTTCAGGACACCTAGAAAAGTATGGATTAACTAGAACTATACAGGACTGGATTCCTCCAGAAAGAAAGTATGGTATCTTTTCCCAAGAGCTTAGAATGTATACTTTTTGCCCTTTTCTCCCCCACTATGGGGGGCTGGGGAGAAGTATAGATTATTAGCTAAAAAACAAACAAAAAAACCGACAAACTCGACAGGTGTCAAGTAGCTGTGTGTCTTGGTAATTTGCTCAGCCTGTTATATAGTGGTAAACACCCTACTTTGAGGTGCTTACTTGAGGCGGATATTCAGACTTTGACTTATTACCTTCCAGGGTTCCAATGGGTATTAAATAAAAATACTACTCATTCTGTATTATGACTCCTCCGATATCAGCCTACTTTTACTCACAATTTTCATGGTGATAACTTTCCAAAGGATTGAAAGTATCATCTGTACGATAAGTTTATAAAACAGTTTAAGACAAGAGAGTAAAAACAATTTATTTAAATGTGAAAAAAAGGGCATAAAAGACAGTCACACTAGGGGACTCTGGATAAAATGGTTGTAGCAACTGAGGGGCAACAGATTTGCTTCCTTAAATATCCATTTAATCTATATTTCCTGGCCACACTGCTCAGTTCCCAAAATGGATTCTAGTAATGACTGTAAGGGAAACACAATACACACACACACACATACACACACAGGTTACAATTTTTGATGTATCAATGTCTCCTCCATATCTTTGGGGCTGTTACTCTACTTGCAGGTACATTCTATAAAACATTTTGTTAGAGCTATGCCTTGGCTTTAGATGCAGTACAGCTGAGTTTCTAAGCTTTTTGTAGATAATCCGAGTGTACTAATATTTTCATGAATTAATATCCTGACACTATCAATTACTTTCTGTCTACTCATGTAGAGATCTGTCACTCTCCTTAATTTTAACTTTTAGTAGATGAGAAACAGCTTTGATAACGCAAACATTTCTTTTTCCCTGAATTAGTTGGTGAAACATATACTTTTCACATCTCATTTTGTGTGCCTGTATATTTCATTCGTGAATAACATTTATTCCTTACCTTGAAACAGGTCAGACTGAAATTGGGCCTTCTACCACTAGACTGAAAAGACCTAGAATTCATCGACAGCACAGATACAACAAAAGCCTTCATGGAATACAAAAACTCCAATTTTCATAGGATATCCTTGACCTCAGTGATGAATCATGAGGGCGTAGAGGGTTGAGAAAAAAGTAGGCACATCACTACTGTTTCTAACCAGATATCTCGAAGCTATTTCAGTTCCAGGAATTCTGTCTGCTCCTGTTTTTACTTCATTAGCAATTCAACATGTCTGATTTGCCCACACAATACTTTCCAGCTACTTTACCCATTTGACCTGGAACAAAGTGAAAGCACATTTTGCCCAGTTGAAAGGTCTCCTGGCAGGTTGGTTAGCAACAGGCTTGCCAGTCTGGGTTCTGTTAGCAAAGAATAAACACATTTCATTAGACAATGACTAGTGGACTGACTTCCTCACTATGAAGTTGTTTTTTTTTTTCTATTTTATTTTCTTCAGCCATTCCCCCTCCCCCACCACTTGTTATTCAACTTTTTACTTGTAATTCTTGCCTCGATACGATTTCCAATTTCTTGACGGCAGACATTTCCACGTCTTTGTGGCTGTGATTAACGCAGTCTAATTGCCAAGAACAGGTACCGAGTAAAAGTTTATTTGAAGGAAAGAAAAGCGACACAGCAGTCTTACATCGTCCCTCGGTAGTTTAAAGTTGTGGCTAGATACGTATCAATTAAGGAATCAAGCTGAGGCATCTGCAAGTACCAATTTTACTGTAATGCTCTAAAATTTGGTCACTTGGGGAAGTCTTTACTTGTAACAGTGTAAGTACACAAGGGACAGGAGGGTTTTGCGAGAAAGGCGGGCGCTCTGCCCTGTTCTGCCCGTGACATGATGACGTAAGAACGACTCCCAGAAACTGCCTGAGTCGCCTGCGTCCCCAGCTCCCCGATGTGCACCTGGGCGCGGGACGCCGCAGGACGGAGCGAGAGCGCTCCTCGGTCCCGCTCCCCTGCGCACGGGCCGGCGAGGACCCGGGCGTCTTCACCCCCACAGGAAGGAGCAGAGAGAGCCACCCGAAGTCGGCCTCGAGTCATCCGTGTCCCCGGGTGCCCTGCCTCTCCAGGATACCTGCGTAACTCGCAGCAGCCAAGCCCCACTACGTTCAAAAGTGTGTTTGTGGTTGTCACAGTGCACACCGAAAAGCTCGCTCCGCACCCGCAGAGTGCGCGGGGCCTCTGAGCCTGGAAACAAGCCCCTCCCAGCGCAGCTGTCGCCGCCGCCTGCGGGCTCCTTTCACTTTCTCACGGCCAAGTCACCCAGAGGGGCGCCGCTGCTGCCACCGCCGCTGCGCCCGAGGACTCCGCCCCGCGCCGCTTCGCTCCGGATCCCCGCCCGCCCGAGCCCCGCCCACCCCAACAGTTGCTGCCTGCGATTGGAACGCGCGGGAGGGCAGCTACGGCTCGCCACCCCCATTGGCTGGGCCCCCTTGTCAGTCCGACGACTGCCCACCACCCCCTCCGCCTTCCCGAAGAGCCGCCTTCCCATTGGAGGAGTCTGAGGGCTGGGGGCGGGCGGGGAGCGCCGGTCCAGCCGCTTTCGGTCAATCGCAGAAGCCCAACGCCCGGAGGGAGGGAGGCAGGGGAAGGAGAGGGGCGGACTGAGGGTGGGGGGAACATCTGGCCGGCGCCGCCGCGTGCGTGCGTGGTGCGTCCTCCCGCCCCCTCCCCTCCCCCTCCCCCGCGCCCGCCCCCCCCCCGCCCCCGCCCCCCCACCCGGCCCGGCGGCTCCGCGCTCGCTCCCTCGCTCGCTCCCTCGCTGTGTCTGGCAGGCTGCGGCCGCCGCTGGGCTGCTGCCATGGGGAGCCGTTGAGAGTGGGGCCCTCTTCGCTCCGCCGCGCTCCTCCGGCTGCCAGCGGGGGTGGGCGGGAGGGAGGGGCGGGGGGGAGCGGGCGACGGAGCCGGGATTGGGGGGTGGGGGGGCCGGGAGGGAGGGGGGCAAGAGCCGGAGGAAGCCCACCAAGTCCGGCGGCGGCGGCGGCGGCCGGGAGGAGGAGGAGGAGGAGGCGGAGGACGCGGCGGCGGCGGGGACGCGGTGACTTAGGGCCGCTCCGTGTGAGTCCCGGCGCCGGCCCCTGGCCCCTGACCTGGCGCCCCCTCCGCGCCCCGGCACCCCGGCGGGCGGGGGGCGCCAGCTGTGCGGCCCCGGCCGGCTGGGCGGCGCGGGCGGAGGGCGGGCCGGGTCGGGGGCGCCCCCGCGAGTGGAGTTAGTTTGTGTGGTTGGAGCTGTTGGGGCGGCGGGGGGCGGCGCAGCTGCGGGAGGCCCGGGCGCGGGGACGGGGCCGCTGCAGCTGCGGGGTCGGGCGGGGTGCGGGTTCCCGGCTCCGCGCCGCGCCCCCGCGGGCCGGTGCAGCTGCGGCGCGGGGCGGGCTCCCGGCCGGTGCAGCTGCGGTGGCGCCTCTCGGGTGCGGAGGGCGGCGGGCTGGGGGAGGGGGCTTGGGAGCAGCCGCAGCTGCAGTGGCGCCCGGGACGGCCGCGGCTCCGGGGACCGGTGCAGCTGCAGTGGCGCCCGGGGGAGGGGGCCGGCGGGGGAGGGGGCCCTCCCGGGCTGGTGCAGTTGCCCGGAGGCCCCGGGGGCTCGCGCGTCGCGGCATCGGGGAAGCGGTAGCAACCACTCTCCTCCCGCTGGCTGCTTCTTACGACTTTTCTTTTGTTGTTGCCGTGACCCGGGTCTGTTTTCTCCTCTGTTGTTTAAGGTGTTTTCCTGCTGCACCGGCTCTGCGCCCTCCACCTCCTTCCCTGTGGTTTTAACCTTCCTCTTTCCCCGTGTGTTTTATGCACGGCGAACTACGTAAAGATTTGCATTGCTTCCCCACTCGGCACCCCCGCCCCCACCTCTCTGAAAAACAAAACCCCAACCTCACAAAACCTCTATGGATCCGCGGTAGCGAGACGTGAAGGGGTTGATTTGTGGAGTGGGAGTTGCTGGCCCATTGCGGTGCCCGGGACTCATTAAACTGTCACTCACCCCCCACCCCACTGGGTAAATGGGGTGATTAATGTCTGATATATTGGAATGGGTCGAGGGCATTTGTGGAGAATAGGTGGTGTGGCTGGGAAGAAATTGATCTCCCGAGGATGTCTCCTGGACTAAGTGTTCATAATTATGTCACTCACCGCGAAGTTGGAGAAAGTTAGGTTTGTGACTTTGGGAAAGCGAGAAGGACAGGACGGAGTCGTCGGGTTTTGTTACTCTTTAACTCTCCGCCACGGCTTTCTAATGGGAACGAAGTGGTTATCACCAGGGCTGGGACGCTGGCGCCTCAGGCCCCAGTTCCTTTTCTACCCCTCGCCCTCCCAAGAGTCTGAGGAGATGTATTTGACATTCAGAGATGTCGCAGCACCCTGCCCGGTACCGGTCAGCCCAGCCCGGGTCGCGTTACAGTTTCATCAGCTATTAGAAAAGACCCACAAACTGGCTGAAAAGTTCTCAAACTTACTAGACCTGGCTTCCCCCCACACAAAGATTTTCTTGTGATCATAAACATTAGAGTGACCCCCCCCCAAAGAAAAAAAAGATTGTTAAGGGACACAGATCAAGGGGAAGGCAAGGTTCTGCTTTTTCTGAGCAGAAAGATCAGATATGCAGGTGCAGCATTCATTTTAAGTGACTGGAGCAGGTTGTATCAGTTTATTAATTGGTCTCGTTGAACTGAAGTACTTTCCAGGATTTCAGAAAGTGCAGTTTCAGCTTGTTGGTACCGAGAATTGAAATTTGCATTGACTGTGGCAGTGTAAGAAATTTTTCTGAGAAGGTAGTTGTAGATAAGTAATTACATAAGAGTGAAATAATAAGGTGAACCAGTCTGAAGTAATAGTTCTGAACAAGTCTGCCAACATTTGAGACATGTATACCATTATCTCAGCAGAAAAAAATAAAAAAGTGCGGTAATAATGTTGAAATGGGACTGGAGATGTCAAATGGGTTGGTTTAAAAATATCCCTAAACTGCTTTAGAAACTAAACGTTGGAGTTGAATAAAAGTGAATCTGGATTTCCTGAATAGCACCGTGGCTTGAGTGTGCTGTCAGTATGTAAGCCAGTCCACCAACTTAAGACAGAAGTGTTGCTATTCCATAAATACAGTAGAACTCCATATGCTGAGTTTTTCAATTTCTTCTGTTAGAAAGTTTGGAAAAAAAGGAAGACTTTGAAGTATTTTGTTTATACTAACAGAAGAGAAAAGTTCTCCTAAGAAAAAGCTGGTGGCAGGAGTGTAGAGGAGTAGCATATGGCATTAAAAGGAGCACAGCTGGAGGTAGCATTTCCATCTGAACATGATGTCAGAGCAGCTGACAGCCTGCCATCCCTCAGCCTTTTATTCTAACACACAGACAGGGAGTTAGTGTGTGCGGATCTGTGGTGGAGAAGGTATCTCATTCCTCTCTAACATCATCTCCACTTTGCATCTGTCTCTCTTAGTCTGCTTTTTTTCCACCGATGTAACAGACCTGGAGCCAGCAGGACTCAGAGGAAAGGACTTAATCAGGTTTATGTGTCCTAAAGGTAGGAGTAGCAAGAGATTAGATTGAGCATATTTCTGTTTTGGTGTTTTGTTTATTTAATTTTAAAAATCACATTACTTTTCTAACCCAGTTTAGGAATAATATATGAAATTGAGTATTAAATGAACATCTTACTGGAGTTGAAAGTCTTGAGCTTGTTTAGTTTTAATTTTTTATCCCTTTTACTTGAGCGAGTAAATAACTTTAATACACAAATATTTCAAGTTTTGAAATGTTAAGAAAGGCTTTAAAATGCTGCTTTTGGAAATCACGTTGGATTAAAATGCTTTTTTGTTGTTCACTGCTATTTAGATTTGATTGGGGTGGTGGTGGTGGGGAAATAGTAAACTGGAATCCAGCATTCAAACTTATATGAGAAGATTATTCTAGTTAAGCAGCTAGATTGTTGTATAATTAATTCCTCTGTGAAACTTTATTCTTCAAAACATTGAGCAGCACTACTGAAACATACAGCTGTAGTGCTGTTGAAACTGCAGGTTTTTAAGAAGAAGAAAAAAAAACCAAACTTTTGTCCCCAGGAGAATAGTTTGACTGGTTTCCTCATTTCTCTTTCAAATATATATTTAAGAGATCTTTTATTTCAGCATAACAATAATTATTTGCAGGAGTTTTTGTGTTAGCGACTAATTTAGAACTTGTAGATTTGAGCTGCCTGAATTGGCCAGACAGCTGTAATCGCACTCCTCTATTCTTAATCTCTTTATCTGGGCAGCAGCTGCCATATGGCCACAGTCAGCTGGATCAGATGTTTATAAGCTTCCTTCTTCGTCCCTCTCTGTCCTCTCAGCCTCCTAATTTGATCACGGCTACCTTGTGAGCTGCCCTCCAATCTTTATTTTTAGCCTTCTCAAGGATTAGGATTGATGTTAGCTGTGGGGCACTTAAAGTGATTGTATTGTAAATCTTAGTTTATTCTAGCAGTGGCATCTTGCAGAATGTGTCTGGGGTTAGGATAAAGTTTTAGTCTGTCTTGGGCAAAGTGTAGAAGAACAAGAAGAAAGGAAGTAATTTCTGAATATTAAATTAAGTGTATCTATTCCCAAAATGCACTTGCTGAGATGGGTGGTGTGGAGGCTTGCTTCTGGTCACAGGAAAGGGGAAGTCGGGTCTTCTTTATTTTTCAGGAGTTTACCCACTGCAGTTGAATTCTGACCCTTTGTACATCTTTGCCTTTCTCCTCCCTCCATTTCACTTTCCCTCATCACAAAACAAGGGCAATGATGAATATTTGCAAGAATAGAAGCTAGTGGGAAAACAGAAATATATCAAATTATATTGAAACAAAGTATTTTCTGTTGGCTGAGGTAAGGCAGAACCAGGAAAAAAAAAAAGGTTCTCTTTTTCTAAAAAGGCTTAAAAAAAAACGTTGAACCTGTAAAGCTTTTGAGTTTTATTTAAGCGCTGTATGCCTTTATTTTTAAAAGTTTGAATTAATTTCAATATGAAACTCATTTTGCCTTGCAACGGATCAAAGTTTAGATGAGAATTTTCGGAGTTCAGTAAAGCCCCTCTGGTTCCTAATATTCTGAAAGTACAGTTTCTACAAAGAAATGTAACTACTTTTTTCTCAGTTCGTTTTGAAAAATCTTTGGATTTGTTCATAGTAAAGATGATCTTTTCCATCTGTTGGTGCAGCTCCTTCTGATCTCGTACATGTGTGCTATACCTGCAAATCTGAAGGCATTAACATCTGTTTTTATACACAGGGCTTTTGTTGTAACACCCTGACTTTAAAAGTAAGTTGTTTGCTAATTTCTGGACTAATTATGCAATTTCATTTTTTTTTCTTGATTCAGCCAAATGTGTGTGTGTGTGTTTAAACTGTGCTTTCTAAGCACAGTCAGGTAGCAAAAGTAATAAAAAGGATGGTTGAACAAGTTTTCTTGTATGTTCCAGGATATGTTTGGGACTTTTCTTTGTTTATTATATGAGTTGTTCCCTTTGAAATTAAAGCTATTTTGTAGGTTTTGTGGGACATAATTTGATAAGTAGAGTTAATTAAATTTCTTCTGGAAGAGATCTAAATTCTTATTCTTAGTGAGAGACTGTAGTTAAAGGAAGGCTTTTAGAACTTGGGTTCAAGGAAGATGGAGATGCGTCGGAAGCTCTTTGGCGGGGGTGAGGAAGTTCAGAAAGTGTGCATTTTCCTTCTGGCATTTAGGTCTTGTCCGTGTGATTTGGTGGTGCTTGGGTCATAAGCCTGATTAAAATTCAGGGACATGTACCACGGCGGCCAAAGCGGAATTAATTTTTTTATATGGGGACTGGAGCGCTGAAAAGTTGTTCCTGACCAGGCTCTAATGAGAAATTCCTCTCTCCCCAGGTTATGAAGACAGTATGGAGTTTCCAGACCATAGTAGACATTTGCTACAGTGTCTGAGCGAGCAGAGACACCAGGGTTTTCTTTGTGACTGCACTGTTCTGGTGGGAGATGCCCAGTTCCGAGCGCACCGAGCTGTACTGGCTTCATGCAGCATGTATTTCCACCTCTTTTACAAGGACCAGCTGGACAAAAGAGACATTGTTCATCTGAACAGCGACATTGTTACAGCCCCCGCTTTCGCTCTCCTGCTTGAATTCATGTATGAAGGGAAACTCCAGTTCAAAGACTTGCCCATTGAAGACGTGCTAGCAGCTGCCAGTTATCTCCACATGTATGACATTGTCAAAGTCTGCAAAAAGAAGCTGAAAGAGAAAGCCACCACGGAGGCAGACAGCACCAAAAAGGAAGAAGATGCTTCAAGTTGTTCGGACAAAGTCGAGAGTCTCTCCGATGGCAGCAGCCACATAGCAGGCGATTTGCCCAGTGATGAAGATGAAGGAGAAGATGAAAAATTGAACATCCTGCCCAGCAAAAGGGACTTGGCGGCCGAGCCTGGGAACATGTGGATGCGATTGCCCTCAGACTCAGCAGGCATCCCCCAGGCTGGCGGAGAGGCAGAGCCACACGCCACAGCAGCTGGAAAAACAGTAGCCAGCCCCTGCAGCTCAACAGAGTCTTTGTCCCAGAGGTCTGTCACCTCCGTGAGGGATTCGGCAGATGTTGACTGTGTGCTGGACCTGTCTGTCAAGTCCAGCCTTTCAGGAGTTGAAAATCTGAACAGCTCTTATTTCTCTTCACAGGACGTGCTGAGAAGCAACCTGGTGCAGGTGAAGGTGGAGAAAGAGGCTTCCTGTGATGAGAGTGATGTTGGCACTAATGACTATGACATGGAACATAGCACTGTGAAAGAAAGTGTGAGCACTAATAACAGGGTACAGTATGAGCCGGCCCATCTGGCTCCCCTGAGGGAGGACTCGGTCTTGAGGGAGCTGGACCGGGAGGACAAAGCCAGTGATGATGAGATGATGACCCCAGAGAGCGAGCGTGTCCAGGTGGAGGGAGGCATGGAGAGCAGTCTGCTCCCCTACGTCTCCAACATCCTGAGCCCCGCGGGCCAGATCTTCATGTGCCCCCTGTGCAACAAGGTCTTCCCCAGCCCCCACATCCTGCAGATCCACCTGAGCACGCACTTCCGCGAGCAGGACGGCATCCGCAGCAAGCCCGCCGCCGATGTCAACGTGCCCACGTGCTCGCTGTGTGGGAAGACTTTCTCTTGCATGTACACCCTCAAGCGCCACGAGAGGACTCACTCGGGGGAGAAGCCCTACACATGCACCCAGTGCGGCAAGAGCTTCCAGTACTCGCACAACCTGAGCCGCCATGCCGTGGTGCACACCCGCGAGAAGCCGCACGCCTGCAAGTGGTGCGAGCGCAGGTTCACGCAGTCCGGGGACCTGTACAGACACATTCGCAAGTTCCACTGTGAGTTGGTGAACTCCTTGTCGGTCAAAAGCGAAGCACTGAGCTTGCCTACTGTCAGAGACTGGACCTTAGAAGATAGCTCTCAAGAACTTTGGAAATAATTTTATATATATATAAATAATATATATATATATACATATATATAAATAGATCTCTATATAGTTGTGGTACGGTCTAAAAGCAGTCTTGTTTCCTGGAAATAAAAAGTTGGGATATTAACTTGTTTTTGCACTTTAGAATAGCATGAGAATCTCACTAATTTAGCATTCTGATAAAAGAAACTTTAGAGCAAGTCAGAATAGAGAGGTGTTTTTCCTTTGAGGGGATAGGGGAAGTAAGCCAATAAGAACCTTTTAAACAAATCGTCCTGTCACAAAATGCTTTCATATGGCTTAATTTTGTCAACACTGCATTGTCTTTTGAGCTCTTTTTTCCCCCCCAACAAAGTTTTTTTGTTTTTTGTTTTTTTTTTTAAGTAGAAATTCCCTCCAGTTTTATTAGCCTCTTTATATGTCTCAAATTGCATGAATTTTTTCTGGCTGTTGGAAACCTGAATGCTTTTAGACCCAAATGGAAAATTTCTGAAATGCTGGATTATCTATTTTTAAACAAGCAGTTGACTTAAAACTTTCTGTGGCAACTTCTGGTTTTCTGACAGTTCCCAGTGAGAGAAATGCTGAAAGTACACTGGGATCACTGGGACACTGTCTTATGAAGGTTTGCTTGGGATGAAAAAGGATATTGCAGCTTCAGCAGTGTTGAACTGTGTGTTTAAAAATGTGAATTACTGTTATTGTATACTGTAATTGATTACATGGGCTGGGGGGGTGTCAAAGAACTTGACAGGTTGTGTTGATGCTCTTAGTTGAGTCTTGAAAAGTAAATATTAACGCTACAGAAATGCATGAGTTTCAATATATTTTTTGTCTTTGTTTGCATTGTATAACTTTAACGAGTGAGTTTAAAATTATTTAATTTCCTTAGAAAAATAACACCATTTGGAAAAAAAAACTGGTGTTATGAAGAACGTAAATGCACTGTTTTTATTTTTATTTTATATAATTTAAATTGACTTTCCCACTGTCTTTAAGTTGAAACTGTTAAGCTGAATAAAAACTTAAGCTGCAAATTGATAACTTCGCTACATAACAAGGAAAATATAAATGTTTACAAACAGCTTAAAGATTTGCATGTGCAGTGTGCATTTATAACAAACTTCTAATTGCACAAAACCCATGCCAGCTCAGAGTTTAGGTGTACACATTTACCCAGTTGAGCGTTCTTAGAATAACTACTGCACAAGTTGACAATAGGTCGTTCTCTCTTTTTTTTTGTTTGCTCCCTTTTTCTTTTTCTCCCCTTCCTCCTTACCCTCCCTCCCTTACTCTCCCCCCCCACCACCACCCTCCACCCCCAACTCATGAAAAGATTCTATGGACTGAAAAAGCCCCAGGCTGAAAGGACTGGACTGCCTTGATTGACATGGGGAAGGGGGTTAGTAGACTATGTGGATTGCGGCAGCAGAGGCTGCAGCCTAACGTGTGGTTTTAATGACCAGCACGCAAGGCAAAAGCATTTTGCACAGTGTTTGTTTTCCTGTCTTGCACTTACAAATAAGGTCTATGGGAGTAGCATGGAAAACGTTTGCTGTTTTTCCCTTTTTTTTTTAATTGCTTTTGTTTAAAATTTGATCGCCTTAACTACTGTAAACATAGCCTATTTTTGTGCTTAAGATACTGAATGGAAAACTCCATTGTGTGTTGCTGGACTGTTTTGGAAATATTTGGTTAAATGTGTGTTAATTTGGCTGTAATGGCATTTAAAGCAAACAAACAAACAAAAAAAGCTGTGAAAATGGCCTTGGAGCATTATCTTTAGTTACTTGAAGAGTTTCTAGTTTTTTTAAAATACAGTTTATGTTAAAATAATTTTTATTAATTTAGAGAAGACAATCAATGTCTGTGAGAAAACGGACTTTCTTTTGGATTTTCTTTTTGTGGTCATTGTGAGTGATTGCTTTTTCCTTTTCTTAGTTTCACATTCTTCCTTTGTTCTAAAACTTAGACTGACATCTAGCTTTGACAATCATAGTATGTTTTATTTTCCTGAGGGGGAATAACTTATAATGCTGTTTAGTTTTGTACTATTGGTGTGTTGGTGAATTTTTAAACTGTGTGCTAACTGCAATAAATTATATGAACTGAGAATTTCTTGTGTGTATTTTTTATTGTGATTATGTAGTGTATAGATTCTAAATATGTATCATACCTGGCATCTTTAATATCAATTCTATTCGGAGTTTATGAAATTATTAGAATGCCTTAAATCACTCGAGTGGAAAATGTGTAAGCATTCTAGTCACTTAAGAAGATACTAAATGCACATTTAAAAAATGCGACCCATTTTCACAATCTACATCAAGAATGTTGAGGTAATTCCCTAGAAACTCATGAATCATGAAACTACGTGGCAGCATAGGTTGTTAAAAATACACTGTACAACTACTAATCCATATACCGTAAGTCACTTTTCGTGTGTAATTTTATCCTAAGTTGATCGGTCAAATCTATTCTCCTGTGTTCTGGTTTAAGTGGAAAATTGAAGGAGACCGGATGTTTTAATTTGGAAGACTGCTTGGCTAATGACTGGAATTCTAGGCAATTGAATTAGCAGGCATGCAATTGTTCACGATTAGCTATATACATCCTTTTTGTTGCTGGGAGAACTCGAAAGTTTCTAGGTTTTAATTCTCAAGTTTTAATTTAAACATGTAATTAAATACATGGACCATTAAAAGAACTCTGTTCCCTACTTTTTATGATTGTCCCAACTTCATGCTTATCTAGTTGGGTACATGTCAGGGTGAGAAACATTGCTGGTTGACCTGGGTAGGGAATTGACAGAACACTCACACATGCGGATGATACTGTAGAGGAATTGTCACAAACAACCCTAAGCTCAAGCAGTCAGGTGCAGGCATGGAGAGGTTTTGTAAACCGTGCTTGTCTCTAACTTCCAACCTTAAATAGAAATATGACTATGAAATTTTACATTATTACTGTCAAACTATGTTTATATTCAGTGGCCTATAGTAAGGTCAATATTTTTAACCTACAGAAGTGGGATATAAGGTCTGAAGTTTGAAAATGGACCATTTACCAACTACCTGGTGGCTTTGGATAGGAAGCCACAGGGATTTTGTCATGAAGTATAATAACATAATTTGGAATCCTAATTTCCATCCCCCTGCCTTTTTTTTTTTTTTTCTAAAACAATTTTTAAAGTATGTAACTCATCCTTGGTTTTAACCAGCCAAATACTGTTTCACATGAAAGGGGAATGTACATTTGACCCCCATAGAATAATTTCTTGAGCAGTTACAAGCTTACAAAAAGGGGAGGGAGGGGGACTTTTTATTTTCAGTTCCTATAGTAACTGGTCAGAGTATCTCAAAGCTTCCTGAAGATGCTGAGCGTTTACTTGAATTTAGTTCTGTGGACTAACATCTAATTTTAAGTAAGGAACATTATCTTAACAATCTTAACTGGATATACTTATAAAAATAATATTTTGACATGATTTGGAAGAAGTAACTTCTTAAAACATTCTTTGCAAAACTAGAACAGAATATTAATTACACAAACTGCCACATTTGGTAAGTGAAATGAAGGAATCATTTATTTGCCACATTTAAAAAAGGAAATTAATTTGTCATGTGATCATGTTGGAAACCATTAAAACTGATCCCTCCTTTGACATCTGGCTGATACATAGTATATTTTAAATATGTAGTTTTATTTACTTTAGAAAACTTCTTTTTCCTTTAGATAATCAATTATGCACTGGATTGATGTGGGTTCAGCATTGTGTGCTAGGGGTACCCTAGGGAAGATCCAAGAAGTATAAAGTGTTAAGGATACTAGTTTCGGATTTCCTTTCTGGTTAATTATGCTATCAGATTAATAGGTGAATCAAATAGAGTTTTTCTTTAACATTTGTTATGAATATCTACAAATAGGTTATTGAAAGGTTGGAAAAAGGGGAATACTATATTAACATTTTAGAACAGTTAAAATGGCCAAAATAATCATTTTCCAAGTAAATCTTTTTAACTACCATCAAAAAATCTTTTTTTTTTTTTTTTTTACCAAGAAGTGGCACTACTTAAAAAATCTCGAACTTCCAAGTGTTACGTATAAAACACACACCGACTCACTGACTCCATGAAGCCTTGACTCAAGAAATCCCATTGTACATATAAGATTTTTTTTTTAATGGTCTTAAGACCTCAAAATTTCCTGCATGGCATGACTATTTTATTCCTATAAAGCTTAAAACATTCTTTGATTTCCACTATAACGAGGGAAAGTTTCACATGCTCTGACTAGGAAACTGAGATAATTTTATATTTTAATTTGTAGATACTGACCTAAATTTTTGTTATAATTGTTTGTTGCAATGCTTGAATTTGCTGATAAGGTACAGTGAATTGAGTGTGAATTTGAAATGCGGCAAAGAAAAGCTCCGTCCTTTTCACTGAAATTACTTGACATTAAAATGCTAAAGATACCATCTTTAAAAATAAAGGAATAGTTTTATTTTTTAAAAGCGAATAGCTTTTAGGAGTTTCATTTTGGCTGTAGTCCAAGTTTATTATACTGACAGGATTTTGTCCCTTATGTTAAAATTTTTGTACCTTTGCCTACAAAAACACGGCAAAATATCTTTGTATATAATCCCTTGGTTTAAAATGTAGAACCGTTTATCTTTTGACTCCGAGTAGGTTTACTTCCATAAAAAAGAAACATTTTATGCTTCTAGGACCTCCGCCCTTGCTTACATTTCCTTAATATTATAAAAGGATAGCTAAAGTAATCAGATCTTATTGATGACACGGGAGGTTTTTAGAAATTCATTTTCAGAGGCACTTTAGAAATTGGACTTTCAGTATTTTTGTGAACCAACCCCTTAAAAAAATCTTTACTAATTAACTTTTGTAATTTCTTGTGAAAGAAGCTAAACTCCAAATTTAAAACACTGTAATCAGAAAGGATGAGGTCATATAAATGGAACAATGGCATGAAAAGTTGTTTTTTTTTTTTAAGTCTAAATACTTTATAATGTATCTGCTTACACTAAATAAATTGTTGAATTAATCATCCAGGTAATTCAGGCTTATAGGATAGTATTTGTCTAAAAATATTTAAGTACTTGCAATAAATCAGCATTTTTTTTGAGAGGGATGAATTATCCAGGTAAATTTCCTGATTTGATTCTAGCATTTACTAATGTACTGTGCATCATAATTCCTAGGTTTATGTGATCATGGTACTTTTCTTTAGCTGTAGGTACTTCACAAAAAATGTATATATATATTCTTTGAAAACCAAAATTTTTCTTGACTTTTGGGGCACATATGGCCAAATAAGGTATCTCCCTTTTCTAATCTTTGGAAATGGGTTTGCAGTCAAGCTTGCAATTTGCTATAGGAGGCATTCTCTAGTTAGTTTGGCAAGAAAGGAGTGAAAACCCAATTTGGCTTTAAAATGTAGCACATTAGTCAGTAACAGTTTCAGTGAGGATATTTAGAGTGGCTTTGAGAGGCCGTGTGACACCCAGAGAGAGTCCATTCACGGAAATGACTTATTTACAGTTTGTTATAATCTCTTTAGTTAATCATTAAATCAAGTAGCTTTTATTAAATGTCAATATGTATGGTTAATATGACTACATAGGAATTTTAAAAAGTCATATTGCCCCAAATATTCATGTTTGTAAAGGGTATATTTGTAGTTAATATGAAGTGGAGCTTGGAAAACGTATTTGAATATTGGTAAACATTTATAGGACAGATTAAATGTGTTGTTTCAATACATAATGCATCTACAGTGGTATGAACCTGAAAGAATAGCATAACCTTATTTATGGATGCTATATGCCAAACCAGAGCTAACTTTTGATATGTGGCAGCTTACAAGGATGGATCTTTATCGTGTATGATTTATAAATATATATTACTTAAAACTGTAAAACAGGACACATTCATTTTATCTTAAAAATCATATTTAATGCAGTTTACCTTTGAGAGGATTTTAAAGACCCAAATATTTTTGTATGTCTAATGCTCTGAAATGATCTTTGATCAAAGTAAGAGCATTTAGATTTTTCATCTGACTCTCTTAAAATTTGTTTTTGAAAACAGCCTCAAAATATAAACATACCTTTTCTGTGGACCATGTCTTTGGAACTATATCATGTAAATTAGCTGTTTGGTAATATTGAAATGCCAACTGCATGTTTACTAGGCAGCAATGCTTCCTAAGGATGTGTATTTGGATAATTTTTGGAAAAGCACAATAGTACACTAATAGGTAATTAAAACATTTAAGAAAAATAGTCATTGTTTGTGAACCATAGTTACCATAGACGTTGGTGCCAACGATTTGTTTTTAGTGTATTAAAAAAATCTATTTTTTTCTAATTATAATGGTTTCTGAGTGTCACTTAAAAGCTTTATGAAGTAGAAGAAATTTGAGCATAGAACCATAGCTCAAGAAAACCTAATTTATAAAAGTTATTCTTATAACTACCTGTTTTTGAGAAAGAAGGTCTCATGCTTATGCATGTGATGAGGGAGAATGGGACAGGTTTATATTCAAAGCATAGTCATTATCCACGAGCCCTTCGCATAAAATTTGTTTAAGATCTCTTCAAAATCTCCAAGACTTTGCAACTGAATAAACCGAAAGAAACTGAAGTCTGGCAGATGGAATATTCCTTTAGGTTCTGATTTTTGTTGAGATGAAAACTAAAATTCATACTTTATAGTCAGTTCTCTCTGTTTCTCAATGTCCTTTTATTTACTATAGGAGGGTAAATTTTATGCATCAAGTGATTTTGACACCATTGCACAACTGAATTTTCAAGCCAAGTTTGTTTTTGTGTCTGACTTTCTACCATTCTGAAAAAATCGAAACAAATTTAAAATGAACACTGTATTTGAAATGGGCCCTATTTACCACTGGGTACCAGCAAACTGCATATTCCCACTGAGGGAGGGCTGAGCATGCAGATGAAAGAGCTGAGGCATTTTCCAGGGGCTCATGACAATAAACGACATCGAATTGGATGAAATCCTTAGGTTAAAGGAAAAAAATAAATTAGGGAATATGTTGGGTCACAATGAAGTTTTGCTTTTCATAGTAAGTGTGAAGTCTAGAAAATGTGGTGATTTCTCACATTCTATTTATATGTTATTTTACTTGAGGGATGCCTCAAAGCAGTACTAGAATCACTTCTGTGCAAAAGGGGGAGGAAAGGAGGGTTTGTCATCATGTATTCAGTTTGCTTTGTAAAGGTGCTTATCTTGCAGTAAAAATAATATTTTAGTCAAAGTATGACAGGCGGTTTGTAGGCTTGACCAGTATGGAAGGATTTTAAATGATTGGAGTGTTTCTGTTTAAAAGTCAGTCAAGTAACACCCTCAAAGACTAAGGCGATCAATCCTCCTATTGTTATTCTTATTTAGTAGTACATATATGCTTTTTTTTCTCTCTCCTAACGTAACAGAACGTTTAAGCCTTCTAACCAAAAACAATTCCAAGCTTACATCTGTATCCTGAATTTTAAAATTTACATTC